>NT_187651.1:300000-391807 GCF_000001405.40 Homo sapiens | reverse complement strand
GAATTCTAAGAACTATTTGGACCACAACTTATAGACTATTTATATATTTTGCAAACTGTTTGCTGTTCTCTGACTTCAAGTAAGAGAGAGATATTAAGTGACAAATCATACAACGGAAAGGGAGAGCTATTAAGTGATAAATCATACAGTGGAAAGAGAGTTATATAGGAAGACTCTCCATTTTAACTCAGAATAAAATATGTAACCATCTTTAAGTTTTAATGGGGAGACCTGTGTGGCTGACTTTTTTTTTTCCCAATCTAGCTTCCTCATTTGGAAGAACGTTTTGTTTCTGTATATGAAAACTGAAGGATTTCTATTCAAGGCCACTGTGGTAGACAGAATAATGGCTTACTAAAATGTCGACGTCCTAATTTCTGGAACCTGTGAAAATGTCACCTTCCATGACAAAAAGGACATTGTAGAAGCAATTATTTAAGGATCTAGAGATGAGAATATTAAGATGGGTTATTTGGGTGTTCCAAATGTGAACCCAAGTGGAGTTCTTGTAAGACTGAGAAGATGCCTTCGAGTTAGGAAGGAGATGGGAGATGTGTTATGAAAGCAGAGGTTGGAGTGACAGAATTTCAAGATGGAGAAAGGGGTTATAGCCAAGAATCCAAGCAGCCTCAAGAGAGTAGAAGCTCTTGATTTTCACCTATGTGACTCTATTTTAGTCTTTACTTGCAGAACTGTAAGATAGTAGATTTGTGGTGTTTTAATCCACTAAGTTGGTAGTAATGTGCTCCAGCCACTATGAGACAAATACAGTATACACACACACACACACACACACACACACACACACATACATATATGTGTGTGGGTGTGTATTAGGAAAAGTAGTAAATCTAAATCTAGATTTTCTCATTCTCACCTAGGTTCTTATATTTTTAATTATATAACTAGTTACATAACATTATTTATATAATACTAGTTATATAACTAGTGCTCTATTATTTTCCTTCTATTTTAATTTTTCTGTTAAAAGAAAGTTTAAGAACATATGTATCCATATATGTATATACACATGCAGAAATATATATCTGTGTATGTGTGTGTGTTTATGAGTATATATATTCAAAGTTCTGAAACGTTTTTCAAAGCAATGCTGGCAATGGAATTCTCATTTCTATTTATCTTTTCTGTGGAGGTTTAAGTATGATTTATTTGGGAATTGCTACATTATCCTGACAAAAATATAACAGTAGTGGCAATATATAATCCCCCAAAAATGTTATATCTCCAGATAACTTTTAATGAGTTGGCATTGACTAGTATGAGAAATACAAGGCACAGAGAGTGATATGGTTTGGCTCTGTGCTGTCACCCAAATCTCATCTTGAATCGTAATTCCCATAATGCCCATGTGTTGAGGGGCCTGGTGGGAGGTGATTGGATCATGGGCACAGTTTCCCCTAGATGTTCTCATGATAGTGAGTGAGTTCTCATGAGATCTGATGGTTTTACAAGTGTTTGACAGTGCCTCCTTCACATGCTCTCTCTCCCCTGCTGCCATGTAAGACGTGCCTGCTTCCCCTTCCACCATGATTGTAAGTTCCCTGAGGCCTCCCCAGCCGTGCAGAACTGTGAGTCAATTAAGCCTCTTTCCTTTGTAAATTACCCTGTCTCAGGTATTCTTTATAGCAATGTGAAAATGGATTAATACAGAGAGTCTACACATTTCTTTATATAAGATATACTTGTTTTCTGTTTATAGTTAGCAATTACAAAGTTTACAGTAAAATTTTTACTTACATTCATATAACATTTAAGTTATTCTCAAAATTTTATGCAACCATTTTAGATCTAAAGTGGACTTTGTTTTTTTCCATAGAATAAGTATTTTGTAGGACTTCTCTTCAATATTGGTGTGTAGAAAAAAAAATGTGAACTTCAAGTTTCAATCAATTAAACTTTTGCTTAAACTGAAAAACCATGCCAACACACAAAAAGGTCATCTGGGGTGTGCCATTACATTAGGATTACATACTGGTACTACACACTCAGTTGTGTAGGACATAAGAATGGATTATACTTAAACCTCTAAAGGATGGCCTGAATTAAAGTGATAGAAAATGGGAGTTAATATTGCTAGTGTTACCATGTAAAATTTAATAATTATTTGCTTAATTATTGTCTTATTAATTTAATAGTTTCTAAAGAGAAATTTCATTAACAAATTAACAGGAACAGCTACAAAATTTGCAGTGTTCAGTGCAAAATTAACATATAGGACATCTTACTCAAAAATTATTTAAAACTTGACACGAATGACACCAAAGAATTAGCCAAGTGATGGGCCCCTGCAAATGAGCAGATCACATAAATCTATCCCTGAACATCAATTAGTTATAAAAAAATAAGAATTTAAGGCTGGGACCCATAGCCATAATTTTACCCATACCTGCATTTATATCTGTATTTATATACCTGTAACAGTATTTAGATCTATTTATTCACAATCTCAGAATCAGATTGTAGAGACATTTAAAGATTAACTAATACAAACTTGTCCTCTTACAAAAGAGAAAACTGAGCCGCAGTGCTTTGATTGTATCAGTAGCTAATATTAGAAATAAAAGCAACACATTATCTTAAATATTTTAGTTTTTCTTATTACTACCAGTTTAGTGCTCCTATGTATTTTGTAGTACTTCTCTTCAATATTGGTGTGTAGAAAGAAAATGTGAACCCCGAGTTTAATCAATTAAACTTTGATTAAACTGAAAAACCATGGTCAATCCCAATACACAAAAGGGTCATCTGGGGTGTGCCATTGCATTAGGATTACATACTGGTACTATATGTTGCTGCTACATGCTATTTCACTCAGTCGTGTAGGACAGAAGAATGGATTATACTTAAACTTCTAAAGAATGACCTCAATTAAAGAGATAGAAAATGGGAGTTAATATTGTTAGTGTTGCCATGTAAAATTTAATAATTAATATAATGTCTCATATATTCCGTGGTGATTAATTGGTGTGGAATATTTAAGCCACGAGAATAAGTACTATAAAAGCAAGAATTTATAATAGGGTCTTTAATGATCAGTTCTGTTCTTACACAGCTTCTCCCCACTCCTACTCCTTGGAAGCAACCAAGTGGTATGAGTTGGCCCCTACTCACCCCCTCCCTGGTGTCAGTGGACCACATCAGGGAAGTGAGGTTATTTTTTCACTTGGAGGAAACAAAGATATGTAACTCAGTACCCTACTTTTGCCATGAGGTTGCCAGTGGGTGGAGGGAGAAGACAAACTTCCACCTAACCAGTCTGCAAGAAGGAAGTATAAGTTAGTACTCTACTTTTGGTAGGATGGTATTAGTAGGTCCCATCAGGAAGATAAACACGCACACCCACCCAGCTCTCAGGTTACACATCAATAGGGAACCATCTACGAAATAATAAGAGAGAAAAATTCTCATAATATAAAAAAAAATTCAGGACACAATAAAAATCACTTATAAGACAAAAGAACTAGGAAATCATAACCTGAATGAGAGAAAGACAACAGACACCAACACAGACATAAAAAAGGGGTTGGGGCTGGGCGCAGTGGCTCACACCTGTAATCCCAGCACTGTGGGAGGCCAAGATGGGTGGATCACTTGAGGTCAGGAGTTCAAGACCAGCCTGTCCAACATGGTGAAACCCCGCCTCTACTAAAAATATAAAAAGTTAGCTGGGTGCATTGGCACATGCCTGTAATCCCAGCTACTTGGGAGGCTGAGGCAGGAGAATCACTTGAACCTGGGAGATGGAGGTTGCAGTGAGCCAAGATCATACCGCTGCACTCCAGCCTGGGTAACAGAGTGAGACTGTTTCAGACAAAAAAAAAAAAAAAAAAAAAAAAAAAAAAGAGGTTGGAATTATCTAACAAGGATTTTGAAGAAACCATCATAAAAGTGTTTAAATAAGCAATTATATATTGTATTCTCTTGGAACAAATAAAAGTTAAAATTAAAAATAAATTCAATAATGACTTATAAGTTATAAAAAGTAAACATGAACTAAATAAAATTAAAATACAATAATGGAAATAATAGATGCAGAGGATGGTCACAAAAGAAGAGAGCACAGAGCAGAAGATGGAATCAGTGAATCTGAAAACATGCCAACAGAATTTACTGTCTGAACAAGAAGAAGAAAACCGATAAAAAAAAATTTAACAGCATTTCAGGAAACTTTAGAACAATAATAAAAGAGCTAACATTCATAATCACAGGAGATATAGAAGACGAGGAGATAGAATGTGGGACTAAAAAACTATTAAAAAATAATGACTTCAACCTTCCCAAATTAGATGGAAGACATAAACCTAAATATTCAAGAAACAGAGCAAACCCTAAATAGAATACACCCAAATACATTCAATTTCTGGAAATGAAAAAAAAAAATTAAAAATCTTGAAAGCAAACAGAGAAAAATGGCACATTTCTTACAGAAAAACAATAATGTAAACCACAGCAGATTTTCCATCTGAAACCATGAAGGTTGGAAGGAAACAGATAATATTTTTGAAGTACTGAAAGAACAGAACTGTGAACTGTAAATTCAATACCCAGCAATAATATTCTTCAGGCATTAAAGTGACATAGAAAACATTGTCTAATGAAAGAATGCTAAGGTAATGTGTTGCTAACAAACTTACCTTTAAAGAATAAGTTCTCTAAACAGAAAAGAAATGATAAAAGAAGAAGGTTTGCAGCTTTTACAAACATCCATCTAAATGGGTAAAATTAAGCATAAATATAATGTATAATCAAACTTCTCTTAAGTTTTTAAGCCATTTCTAATAGTTGAAGCAAAAATTAATGACCTATCTGGTTAGATGCTCAAGGAACATAGAGGAAGTATTTAAGATAATTATATCTAAAAAGTAGTGATAGTAAAGAGACTCATATGGAAACAAGTTTTCTACACTTCACTCAAAGAGGTAAAACATCAGTAACAGTAGATCTTGACATTACACATATATTATTTTAACCAGTGCAATTAATAAAACCAAACAAAATCATGTACAATCATGCACTGCATAACGATGTTTTGCTCAGCAGTAGACTGCATATATCATGGTGGTCCCATAAGATTATAATGGAGATGAATATTACCTAGTGACATTGCAGCTGAGCTGTCTTAACATCATAGTCTAACATATTTCTCACCTGTTTGTGGCAATGATGGTGTAAACAAACCTACTTCATTGCCAGTTATATAAAAGTGTAGCACATAAAATTCTGTCTAGTACTGATATTGTTTGGCTGTGTCCCCACCCAAATCTCATCTTGAATTGTAATCCTCATGATCCTCCCGTGTCAAGGGCAAGACCCGGTGGGAAGTGATTGGATCCTGGAGGCAGTTTCCCTCATGCTGTTCTCATGATAGTGAGTAAGTTTTCATGAGATCCGATGGTTTTAAAAGTGTTTGAAAATTTCTCCTAGACACACTCATTCTCTCCTGTTGCCTTTTGAAGAAGCCAACTGCTTTTATTCCACCATGATTGTAAGTTTTCTGAGGCCTCTCCAGCCATGCAGAACTATGAGTCAATTAATCCTCTTTCCTTTATAAATTACCCTGTCTTGGGTAGTATCTTTATAGCAGTGTGAGAACAGACTAATAGAGTAAATTGGTACTGGGAGTGGGGCACTGCTATAAAGATACTGAAAATGAGGAAGTGACTTTAGAACTGGGTATCGGGCAGAGGTTGGAAGTGTTTGGAGGGCTCAGAAGAAGACAGGAAGTTGTGAGAAAGTTTGAAACTTCCTAGGGACCTGTGGAATGGTTTTGACCAAAATGCTGATAGTGATATAGACAGTGAAGTCCAAGCTGAGGTGGTCTTGGATGGACAAGAACTCATTAGGAACTAGAGCCCAAAGATCACTGTTACTCTGCCTTAGCAAAGAGACTGGAAGCATTTTGCCCCTGTCCTAGAGATCTGTGGAACTTTTAATTTGAGAAACATTATCTCAAATTGGAACTTATGTTTAAAATGGAAGCAGGGCATAAAAGTTTGGAAAATTTGCAGCCGGACCATGCAGTAGAAAAGAAAAACCCATTTTTCAGGGGAGGAATTCAAGCTGGCTACAGAAATTTGCCTAAATAACAAGAAGCCAAATGTTATTACAGTAGCCAAAACAATGGCAAAATTTTTCTTGGGCGTATCAGAGACTTCCATGGCAGCCCTTCTCATCACAGACCCAGCAGCCTCTGAGGGAAAAATGGTTTCATGGGCTGGGCCTAGGGCCCCGTTGCTCTGGGCAACCTCAGGACTTGGTGCCCTGTGTCCCAGCTGCTGCTACTCCAGCTCCAGCCGTGGCTAAAAGGAGCCAATGTACAGCTCATCTGTTGATTCAGAGGGTGCAAGCCCCAAGCCTTGGAGGATTCCATATGGTGTTGGGCCTGAGGGTACACAGAAGTCAAGAATTCAGGTGTGGAAACCTCTGCCTAGATTTCATAGGTTGTATGGAAATGCCAGGATGTCCAGGCCGAGATTGGTTGCAGGGGTGGAGCCATCATGGAGAACCTCTGCTAGGGTAGTGCAGAAGGAAAATGTGGGGTTGGAGCTCCCACACAGATTCCCCACTGGGGCACTGCCTAGTGAAGCTATGAGAAGAGGGCCACTGTTCTCCAGACCCCTGAATGGAAGATCCACCAACAGCTTGTACTGTGCACCTGGAAAAGCCACAGACACTCAATGCCAGCCTGTGAAGGAACTGCCCAAGGCCATGGGAGCCCACCTCTTGCATTAACATGCCCTGGATGTGAAACATGGAGACAAGGAGATTATTTTAAAGCTTTAAGTTTTAATGACTGCCCTGCTGGGTTTCAGACTTTCATGGGGCCTGCATCCCCTTTGTTTTGACTAATTTCTCCCATTTGGAATGGGAGCATTTATCCAATTCTTGTACCCTCATGGTATCTAGGAAGTAACTAACTTGCTTTTGATTTTACAGGCTTATAGGCCAAAACGTCTTGCCTTGTCTCAGATGAGACTTTGAACTGTGGGCTGTTGAGTTACTGCTGAAATGATTTAAGACTCTGGGGGACTGTTAGGAAGGCATGATGTTGGGTTGGAAATGTAAAAAATATGTGAGATCTGGGAGGGGCCAGGGGTGGAATGATATATTTTGGCTCTATATCCCCACCCAAATCTCATCTTGAATTGTAATCTTCATAATACCCATGTGTTGAGGGCAGGATCTGGTGGAAGGTGATTGGATCATGTGGGCGGTTTCTGCCATACTGTTCTTACGATAGTGAGTGAGTTCTCAGGAGATCTGATGGTTTTGTTAAGTGTTTCACAGCTCCTCCTACACACAATCCTTCTCTCTCCTGTTGTCTTGTGAAGAAGATGACTGCTTCCCATTTCACCATGATTGTAAGTTCCATGAGGCCTCCTCAGCCATGCAGAACTGTGACTCAATTAAACCTCTTTCCTTTATGAATTACCCAATCTCGGGTAGTGTCTTTATAGTAGTGTGAGAATGGACTAATACAAGTACATTTTACTTAGTAATAATAATAAACAAATATATTACATTTTTGTGTATTTACTACACCATATTTTTTATTGTTATTGTAGTGTACACCTTCTACTTATTAAAAGAAATAGGCCCGAGGCGGGCAGATCACGAGGTCAGGAGATGGAGACCATCCTGGCTAACATGGTGAAACCCCATCTCTACTAAAAATACAAAAAATTAGCCAGGCCTGGTGGGGGGCGCCTATATTCCCAGCTATTCGGGAGGCTGAGGCAGGAGAATGGCGTGAACCCAGGAGGCGGAGCTTGCAGTGAGCCGAGATCACGCCACTGCACTCCAGCCTGGGCGACAGAGCGAGACTCTGTCTCAAAAAAAAAAAAAAAAAAAAGTAATAGGCAACTGTAAAACAGCCTCACAGTGGTCCTTCACGAGGCATTTCAGAGGGCATTGTTATCATAGATGTCGACAGATCCATATGCATTATTGGCCTAGAGGAGCTTCCAGTGGGACAAGATCTGGAGGTAGAAAACAGTGATGTTGATCATACTGACCCTGTGTAGGCCTACGCTAGTATGTGCATTTGTGTCTTTGTTTTTAACAACAACAAAAAAAAAATTAAAAATTAAAAGATGTAAAATTACAAAAAAATCTTAGAGAATAAGGATATAAGGAAATAAAGTATTTCTGTGTACAATATGTGTTTTAAGCTAAGTGTTGTTACAAAAGAGTCAAAAAGTTAAAAATAAGTTAAAAAGTTTATAAAGTAAAAAAGTTACTGTAGGATAAGTTTAATGTATTTTGAAAGAAATAAGTTTCTTTATAAATTTTATAAATTCAGTGTTTATAAAGTCTACAGTTTTGTACAATGATGCCCTAGGCATTTACGCTCACTCACCACTTACTCACTAACTCTCCCAGAGCAACTCCTAGCCCTGCAAACTTCATTTATAGTAAGTGCCCTAATCAGGTATACCATTTTTGATGTTTTGACTGGATTTTTTACTGTACCTTTTTTTATGTTTAGATACACAAATATTTACCGTTGTGTTGCAGATGCCTACAGTATTCAGCACAGTAACATGCTGTATAGGTTTGTAGCCTAGGATCAATAGGCTGTACCACATAACCTAGGGTGAGTAGTAGGTTATGCTATCTCTATTTACACATAGAATACACTATATGATGTTACACAGTGAAGAAATTGCCTAATGCATTTCTCAGAATGTAATTTTTGTCATTAAGTGATGCAACATTGTATTTAAAACACTATAAATAAATTAAGATGGAAACTTAACATGTTTATGTAACCCATTGGAAAGCAAGAAAAAGACACAGAGGAATAAGAAACAGAAACAAACAGAAACAAATAACAAAGTGGTAGACATCAACCACAACATACAAATTGTTAAACATAAAAGGCCTATAGAAACCAACTAAAAAACATAGATTGGCAGAGTAGTTAAAAAAACAAAAATCAAAAACGAAAAACCATGGCCAACAATATTGTCCAAATTGCATTTGTACCCCATAAATAAATAATTTTTAAAATTCTGTCTATATAAAACTAACTTCAAATACAGCATAGGTAAGATAAAAGTAAAAAGAGAGAACCAGTAAAATAATTTAAAAATGCAAGTGAGGTTATAGTAATATATCAGCTACATAAATTTTATTTTATTTATTATTATTATTATTATTATTATTTTGAGACAGAGTGTCGCTCTGTCACCCAGGCTGGAGTGCAGTGGAGCAATCTCAAACTCACTGCAAGCTCCACCTCCCAGGTTCATGCCATTCTCCTGCCTCAGCCTCCCGAGTAGCTGGTACTACAGGTGCCCACCACCACGCCCAGCTAATTTTTTTGTGTTTTTAGTAGAGACGGGGTTTCACCGTGTTAGCTAGGATGGTCTCGATCTCCTGACCTTGTGATCCTCCAGTCTCAGCCTCCCAAAGTGCTGGGATTACAGGCATGAGCCAGGGTGCCCGGCCCAGCTACATAAATTTTAAAAAGTAAAAAAAGTCAAATTGCGTTTTTAAATATTTTACATTCCATTGCCATTCAAAGAAATAACATTGTTTTCAATACGATTAAGCAAGTATCATTAGACCTAGAAATAGCCACAATCATTTCTTTAAAAGATTATTAATATTTATTTATTTATTTATTTATTTTTAGGCGTAGTCTCACTCTGTTCACCAAGCTGGAGTGCAGTGGTGCAGTCTCAGCTCACTGCAATTTCTGCCTCACCCTCCCAAGTAATTGGGATTACAGGCACGTGCCACCACATATGGCTAATTTTTGTATTTTTAGTAGAGACTAATTTTTGTACTTTTAGTAGAGACAGGGTTTCACCATATTGGCCAGGCTGGTCACAAACTCCTGACCTCAGGTGATTGGCCCGCATCAGCCTCCCAAAGTGCTGGGATTACAGGCGTAAGTCATCGTGCCCAGCTAAGATTACTAATATTTATAAGCTCTACCTTCTTTCTTGGAGAAATGACTTTATAATTTCACTTTCTAATTCAGTTACCTGTTGAAACTAAATTAAAATATATTCATATGCAAAATGCAAGTAAATAAAAACAGCAGCTTTCTCTATGCTAAAAGGAAGTTCCTTTGGAGCTCATTTCCTTGACAATGCAAGAAAGTACTTCACTGCACTATCTTCATTATGCAAATAAAGGTGCATTTTTAGCTCTTTGAAGAAGAAGAGGAAGAACATGTCTCTCAAATGGCAGGAAAGAACAAATTTCCTTAAGGAAGAGTGAGGGAAAGTTCATCAACACCAACCCTAGGTACATCTTCATTCAGACTTGAAAAGCTTTTGAATAGCGTCTGTTTATTCCTGTTAGAACTGAACTGGCAGGAAAAGACAATGGAGAAGCCACAAAGAGGAGTAGCTAGGTAGCAGCATTCAGGTCCACAATGCCTGGATTTCATTATTATTATTCTACTGTATCTTCAGGCAGTTTATGTAAATCATGTTATTGAGTTCTCTCATCTGGAAGATGAGAGTACTAATAGTTCCAGCGTTCTTACATTAGTGCTGCTGCCATTAGTTATCATCATTTAAGTGTCTGTTCTTATTGTTCAAAGAGTGACTGGCAGTTGAGAGTCCCTGGGACCTGAAGTAGGGAGGTAGAGAATTTTGCATTGGAGTATACTGTTATCTTAACCTTGGAGGCCTGAGTGTTCTTAGGTAAAAGACTGCTTTGGAGGCTGCAAATGGAACTAGAATCCCACCAGATCACAGCCATCTGACTTGGTTGCATTTTTATGGAAACCAGCGTGTTGAGGATGTGAGACTGATATAAAAGCACTAGGATATTCACAGGGTAAAAGTCAGGAGGATCATAACAGCACAGTACTAGAGAACCAGTACGTAGTGGTGTGATGAATGAAAGCCACTGACATAACTTTCGCATCTTGTCTTCCTGTATTCTTTCTTTCTGTGACAGTTGTTGAGATCATGACCTCTTCTGGAATGGTGTTCTCAGAAGTCCTTGGACAATCAGGGTGTACTAGGAGAAAACATGCTGTGAGATGGGATGAAAGTCTTCAGGATGGACACTATACTTTCTGTTATTGGAGGATTCGGTAGTTTGAATAAGCGTTTGAATGAATAAAATATTTGAGTTGAGGACTAAATTCTGATTTTTTTTTTTCATCTTGCCCAAATTCCTATTTAAAGAAACTGGGAGTCAGCCCTACGAATGATAACATCTCTTTACATGGGTTTTTTATTAACCCTATATAATGTGGCTTGCTTTCCAACCTGACTCTGGTACAGCATCACATAACAGACAGCAGACCCTGAAGGATATAAAAATATTTTGCCCTAAAATATATTTCTTTGATGTCTTTTGAAATGGCTGTTGCAAGGCCAGCAAACTGAGGTAGAGGAAATTTGCATCTATGGAGAATCTTCATTAATGCAGCCATGCTTCCCCTTTCTATGCCTTTCCAGGACCTAGGAGTGATTGAGAGTCTGATACCTTTAAAGGTCTGAAAAGAAACATTTACCATCTATTCTCTCTGAGGGCCACCTATGAGGCTTCATCTACTTAATAAGATCCTTGGTCTTTCCCCCACTCTTATCTGAACTCAGGCATTCCTTTCTATCGATTTCAAGACTTTAGACGATAGCATAACTCTCTCAACCAATTGTCAACTAAAGGATCCCTAAAAGCCCCTTATGACGTACAAGCTCCTACCCTGACCTACCTGCAATTACCTGCAGTTGGTTGTCTCCTTGGAATGTATAAAACCAAAGTGTAACCCGGTTGCCTTGGGCACGCTTTCAGAACCTCTTGAGATAGTGTAACCCAGGCCTTGGTCACTTATACTGGCTCTGAATAAACCTCTTTAAATATATTTTGACAGAATTTGGTTTTTGTGTATTTTTCTGTGTATTTCTACCTCTGAGAAGAGGAGTAATTTATACTCTTTAAAAATCATGGTCAGGTATGACTGGTGCTAGAATGAGGATGAAGGGAAGAGAAAGGGAAGAAATAATTCTCCACTCTTTGTTTCCAATTTTAGTTCTTTAAAGTAAAAGTACAAAACATTTTGTAGAGATGTAGTTTGTGGTGGCATGGTTGAAAAACTTCTGCAGTTTATGATTCCTCCACTACAGTGTGATAATGTTTTAAATAGCATTTAAAATGTAGATTCTGTCCAATCCTTACAATTAACTTTTTTATTGTTTGGAATCCATGAAGTTGGTATATGCATGAGCAGATACATATTTATTTAAGAAAAAAAATTAGGCCTTACAGAAAATTGGTTTCTCAGAGACATGATAAAAGTTACCAGATAATGTCTCTCAGACTATATCTATGAAAAAATACATAACCAAATAGACACCAATTGCAAATGAATTAATTACATTGAAATTCTAATAACTTTCATTTCCTAAACTGACATTGATGGAAAAGAATTCTAAGATATAAAATAAGCTCTACTTCATCCTGCTTTCAATAGCACATGATTTAATCAGAATATATAAGTAATACTGTTGAGCACATAAATATTATTTTCATTACTTGATGATAATTATGACTATTTTCATTGCTATAATTTTGGTCATGCCATATTGATTAGCAATAAAATATATACTTAGCTAGAGAGGCAGCTAATCCAAAACTTTTGGGATTTCTTTTTTTTTTTTAGATTATTGGTGCTCCTCCTCCTGTCATTGAGGTTAAAATTAAATGTTACATATTCCTTCTCTGTGTATGTGTATCTTATTTCCTCATATTCTACCTCTTCAGAGTAGTGTGTGTGAGTGCATGCACACACACTTGCATGTGAGAGCTTCTAATATCTAAATTAATGTTGAATCATTATTCAGAAACAAAGAGAGCTAACTGTTATCCTGACTTTATTCTTTATGAAGAAAAATACAGTGATTCCAAGTTACCAAGTTAGTGCTGCTTTATTTATAAATGAAGTAACATTTTACAAGTTGTGCATAAGTTAAAATTCAGAAATAAAACTTCATCCTAAAACTCTGTGTGTTGCTTTAAATAATCAGAGCATCTGCCTACTTAATTTTTTTTGTGTGGGTGCACAATAGATGTTTAATGAGATCCTGTCATCTGTCTGCTTTTTTATTGTAAAACAGGAGGGGTTTTAATCCTGGAGGAACAACTGATGTACCTCTGAAAAAGAGAGGGATTAGTTATTAATTGAATTGAGGGTTGTCTTGTCTTAGTAGCTTTTATTCTCTAGGTACTATTTGATTATGATTGTGAAAATAGAATTTATCCCTCATTAAATGTAAAATCAACAGGAGAATAGCAAAAACTTATGAGATAGATGAACATTGTGTGAGTGGCATGGTTTAATTTGTTTGGAAGAAGCACTTGCCCCAGAAGATACACAATGAAATTCATGTTATTGAGTAGAGTAGTAATACAGTGTGTTCCCTTGTGAAGTTCATAACCAAGAATTATTTTAGTAGTGGATAGGTAGGCTGAATAATTGACTTCCTATCATTTTCAGGTTCTGTGTTTGATTTTTTTTACATATTAATTTCTTTGATCCACATTAAGCTCAGTTATGTATTTCCATTTTATAAATGAAAAAAAAAAAATAGGCACTTGCAAATGTCAGATCACTTGCCTGTGGTCATTCGGGTAGAGATTTGTGAAGCTAAGTTGGTCTTAATCAAATGTCAAGCTTTTTTTTTTCTTATAAAATATAGATTTTAATATGAGTTTTAAAATAAAATTAATTAGAAAAAGGCAAATTACTCAATATATAAAATGTATTGCATTTGTAATAGGTAGGTATTTCATTTTCTAGTTATGGTGGGATATTATTCAGACTATAATTCCCAATGAAAAAACTTTAAAAAATGCTAGTGATTGCACATTTAAAACACCTTTTAAAAAGCATTGAGAGCTTATAAAATTTTAATAAGTGATCAAACCAAATTTGAAGAGAAAAGAAGAACCCAGAGAGGTAAGGATATAACCTTACCAGTTGCAATTTGCCGATCTCTACAAATATTAATATTTATTTTGACAGTTTCAGGGTGAATGAGAAAGAAACCAAAACCGAAGATTAGCATATGTTAAGTCTTCTTAAGGAGCCCTCCCTTAAAAGATTGAGATGACCAAATCTTATACCCTCAGCATAAGGTGAACCAGACAGACCTAAAGCAGTGGTAGCTTGGATCCACTACTTGGGTTTGTGTGACTGCGTGACTCAGGTAATCTCAAAAATTGAACATTTTTTTAAGGTGGTCCTACTCGTATGCCCAGGTGTTAGGGAGAAGCAAATCTGAATGCTTTATAAAAATACCCTGAAGCTAAATCTTACAATATTCTCAAGAACACAGTGAAACAAGGCAAAATAAGTTAAAATCAACAAAAACAACATGAAACATAATTAGAACCACAAAGACTTCAAACATTGGACAATATCAGAGAAAGATAATAAATATTTTACTCTTTAAAAATTTAGTTAAAAGCTTAAACTAATTGTAGAGAAAAAACTGTGTTAGTATTATATTGTAGATGAAATAAGCAAAACATTTAAAATACAAATGTGATTACTTAAATTAAATATAATAGATAATTTACCACCAGATTAGATACCATTGAAGGAATAATTAATATACTGAAATACAGGTCAGTAGAAGTTTTTTTCAATTCAGCATGGAGATGTAAAAAATGAAAATTAATGCAAAAAATAAGGGCACAAAAAGAAATGAGTAATTTTGATCAGAAATGTATTAAAATTAATAAACTGGAAATTTGACATTTAAAAAAAAGCATTGTCATCCAAGTAGATGTGTCTATTAAATAGTTGTTCTCATATCCAGTAATGTAATTATTATTCCCCCTCATGCAGTTCAGATTCTGGGGTAATCTTTAGACATCAGTTTTATCTTTTATATTATTTATTCTGTTTACTACATTTTATTTTGCTAATGATATTTTTAATTTCTGACATTCTGGAGTATTGCTCGTAAAAGGTATTTTTAAAAATATTTTATGGTTATTTTTGTGATTCCTATTCCTGTATGGACACCAAGGCTATTGACATTTTCTTTAGTTTCTTCTGTTAATTCTATTTTCTTAGTGTTTATATCATTTCATAGATAGGATATTCTTTATTTTTTATTTTTATTTAAATATTTGGTGATTCTTGGTTTTCTCAGCCATCTATTGTCAAGTGTTCTTATTAAGCATTATTATTAAATAAAGATTATTTCCTCTAATCACATGAGAATCTTTATTTCCCCCAAGTAATTGAAAATTGCAATGCCATGCTGCCATGTGGTACAGCATGGGTTTGGGCTTGCTTTCTTCTTTTTTTTTTAACTTTTATTTTAGGTTTGGGAGTACCTGTGAAAGTTTGTTATATAGGTAAACTCGTGTCATCAGGGTTTGTTGTACAGATCATTTTGTCACCTAGGTACCAAGTACTCAACAATTATTTTTCCTGCTCCTCTGTCTCCTGTCACCCTCCACTCTCAAGTAGACTCCAGTGTCTGCTGTTCCCTTCTTTGTGTCCATGTGTTCTCATAATTTAGTTCCCCACTTGTAAGTGAGAGCATGCAGTATTTTCTAGTATTTGGTTTTTTGTTCCTGTGTTAATTTGCCCAGTATAATAGCCTCCAGCTCCATCCATGTTACTGCAAAGAACGTGATCTCATTCTTTTTTATAGCTCCATGGTGTCTATATACCACATTTTCTTTATCTAAACTCTTATTGATGAGCATTGAGGTTGATTCTATGTCTTTGCCATTGTGCATATTGCTGCAGTGAACATTTGTGTGCATGTGTCTTTATGGTAGAATGATATATTTTCTTCTGGGTATATATGCAGTAATGCGATTGCTGGTTGGAATGGTAGTTCTGCTTTTATCTCTTTGAGGAATTGCCATGCTGCTTTCCACAATAGTTGAACTAACTTACACTCCCACTAACAATGTGTGTTTCCTTTTCTCCACAACCTGCCAGCATCTGTTATTTTTTGACATTTTAATAGTAGCCATTTTAACTGGTATGAAATTATATTTCATTGTGGTTTTAATTTGCATTTCTCTAATGATCAGTGATATTGAGTTTTTTTTTTTTTTCACATGCTTGTTGGCTACATGTATGTCTTCTTTTGAAAAGTGTCTGTTCATGTACTTTGCCCACATTTTAGTGGGGTTGTTTTTCTCTTGTAAATTTGTTTAAATTCCTTATAGGTGCTGGATTTTAGACATTTGTCAGACGCATAGTTTGCAAATAGTTTCTCCCATTCTGTAGGTTGTCTGTTTATTTTGTCAATAGTTTCTTTTGCTATGCAGAAGCTCTTAATAAGTTTAATGAGATCCTGATATGTTTAGGCTTTGTATCCCCACCCAAATCTCATCTTGAATTATAATCTCCATAATCACCACATGGAGAGACCAGGTGGAGGTAATTGAATCTGGGGGTGGTTTCATCCATGCTGTTCTTGTGATAGTGAATGAGTTCTCACGAGATCTAATGGTTTTATGAGGGGGTCTTCCCAGCTTTGCCTGGTACTTCTCCTTCCTGCCGCCTTGTGAAAAAGGTGCATTGCATCCCTTTCACCTTCTCCTATAATTGTAAGTTTCCTGAGGCCTTCCCAGCCATGCTGAACTTCAAGTCAATTAAACCTTTTTCTTTATAAATTACTCAGTCTCTGGTGGTTCTTTATAGCAGTGTGAAAATGGACTAATGAAGTTCCCATTTATGAATTTTTGCTTTTGTTGCAATTGCTTTTGACATCTTAGTCATGAAATCCTTGCCTGTTCTAAGTCCAGGATGGTATTGCCTAGGTTGTCTTCCAGGGTTTTTCTAATTTTGTGTTTTGCATTTAAGTGTTTAATCCATCTTGAGTTGATTTTTGTATATTGTGTATGGAAGGGGTCCAGTTTCAATCTTTTGCATATGGCTAGTTAGTTATCCCAGTACCATTTATTGAAAAGACAGTCTTTTCCCCATTGCTCGTTTTTGTCAGTTTTATTGATGATCAGATAATCATAGCTGTGTGGCTTTATTTCTGGGTTCTCTATTCTGTTCTATTGGTTTATGTCCCTGTTTTTGTGCCAGCACCATGCTGTTTTGGTTAACATAGCCCTGTAGTATAGTTTGAGGTCAGATAGCCTGATGCTTCCAGCTTTGTTCTTTTTCTTAAGATTGCCTTGGCTATTTGGCCTCTTTTTTGGTTCCACATGAATTTTAAAACAGTTGTTTCTAGTTTTGTGAAGAATGTCATTGGTAGTTTGATAGAAATAGCATTTAATCTGTAAATTGCTTTGTGCAGTATGGCCTTTTAATGATATTGCTTCTTCCTATCCATGAGCATGATATGTTTTCCATTTTGTTTGTATCCTCTCTGATTTCTTTGTGCAGTGTTTTGTAATTCTCATTGTAGAGATTTTTCACCTCCCTGGTTAGTTGTATTTTACCCTAGATATTTTTATTCTTTTTGTGAAAATTGTGAATGGGATTGCCTTCCTGATTTGACTGCCAGCTTGGTTACTGTTGGTTTATAGAAATGCTAGTGATTTTTGTACATTGATTTTCTTTCTAAAACTTTGCTGAAGTTTTTTTTATTAGCAGAAGGAGCTTTGGGGCTGAGACTATGGGGTTTTCTAGATATAGAATCATGTCAGCTTCAAATAGGGATAATTTTACTTCCTCTCTTCCTATTTGGATGCCCTTTATTTCTTTCTCTTGCCTGATTACTCTGGCTGGGATTTCCTATGTTGAATAGGAGTCATGAGAGAGGGCATCAAATCTACACATATCAAATACTAACCTTGAATGTAAGTGGGCTAAATGCCCCACTTAAAAGGTAAAGGGGGGCAAGCTGAATAAAAAAGCAAGACTCAATGGTATGCTGTCTTTGAGACCTATCTCACATGTGATGACACCCATCGGCTCAAAATAAAGGAATGGAGGAAAATCTACCAAGCATGTAGAAAACAGAAAAAAGCAGGGGTTGCATCCTAATTTCAGACCAAACAGACGTCAAACAAACAAAGTTCAAAAAAGACAAAGAAGGGGCCGGGAGTGGTGGCTCACACCTGTAATCCCAGCACTTTGGGAGGCCAAGGTGGGCGGATTACAAGGTCAGGAGATCGAGACCATCCTGGCCAACATTGTGAAACCCCATCTCTACTAAAATCCAAAAAAAAAAAAAAAAAAAATAAGCTGGGCTTGGTGGTGTGTGCCTGTAGTCCCAGCTACTCGGGAGGCTGAGGCAGGAGAATCACTTGAACCCGGGAGGCGGAGATTGCAGTGAGCTGAGATTATGCCACTGCACTATAGCCTGGCGACAGAGTGAGGCTCCGTCTCAAAAAAAAAAAAAAAAAAAAAGACGAAGGGCATTACATAATGATGAAGGGTTTTACTCAACAAGAAGACCTTACTAACCTAAATATATATGCACCCAACACAGGAACCCCCAGATTCATAAAGTAAGTTCTTAGAGTACAAAGAGGCTCCCACACAATAATAGTAGGAGACTTTAACACACCACTGATAGTCATAGACAGATCATCAAGGTAGAAAATTAACAATGATATTCAGGATCTGAACCCAACATTCCACCGAATGAGTCTGATAGACATCTACAGAACTCTCCATCCAAAAACAACAGAATATACATTCTTCTCATCTCCACATGGCACATGCTCTAAAATTGACCACATAATGCCTTTCTTTTCAGTGGTCCATATGTAAGTCTTTTGAAAGTGGCAGCATCTCTACTGCTCATGCTTGTTGCAAGGAACTCTACTGAATACAAGGAACTTTACTAATCTCTAATGCTTGTGAGTAGATTCTGAACTCATCATTTAGAAAGCTAAACTGGGGGCTTTCTTCCCAGAGCAAAGACATAAAACAAACCTCAATTGAGCGTGGGACAGGGAGTCATGTGCTATAAATTTCTTGGACAGTTCTTATTCTATGGACCAATTACCATTCCCTTGTATCTCTAATTTTGGGATTATTTCTGGATTAAAACACAAAAAAAATCAGACTGTAAAAAGTCATCATTTCTACCAGTGTGAGAATATGTATTCCTCACCTTTACTGGGATTCACTGCCAGTATATATGCAAATGACTTATACACACACATACACACACGCACATACACACACACGTGTGTGTGTGTAGGTATGTCTGTAATAGGTATTTATATGTTTGCCTGTCTTTCTATTAGAATTGAGATACAGCAAAATGCACAGAAATTAAGCATTCAATTTAGTAAGTTTTCACAAATGTACATATTTAATCAATATCTCAATCAACACAAAAACCATTGTTTCACCTCTGAAGATAATTTTTAATCTTTTGCAAATTATTGAGACTTATTTAATGACCGAGACTACACAGTCCTTCGTAAACATTCCATGTAAATTTGATAAAAATATTTTCATGAAATTTTTTGTGTAGTGTTCTAAAACTTGAAATTAGACTACATTAGTTGATAGTATTATTAGAATCTTCCAAATCCTTACTAATTTTTATTTGTTCATCTATTGTTTATTTTGAGCCGATGATTAAAATCTTCAACTATGAGTGAAAGTCTATTTCTCTGTTTAGTTCTGTCTGTTTTTACTTCATGCATTTTGACACTCTGTTATCAGTTGTATAAACATTGAGAATTATAATGCATTGCTAATGAGCTTAACCTTTTATCATTCCATCTCTGATATTTCAGCTTATTTTGAATCCTACTTTCTCTGGTATTAGCCAGCTACATCAGTTTTACTTCCTTTCATTTTCAACCAATTTTATGACTCCATCTCAAAAAAAAAATGCATTCATTATACAGAGCATATAGTTTTGTCCTTTTTAAATCCAGTCTCAAAATTGCTAGCTCTTAATTTAAGTGTGTTATGGGTTGAATTGTCTGCCAAAAAAAACATACGTTGAAGTCCTTACCCCAGTAATTAAGGATGCAACCTTATTGAAAGATAGGATCTTTATAGATGTAATCAAGTCAAAATGGGATCATTAGAGTGGCCTGTAATCCAATGTGACTGGTGGCCTTATGAAAGGGGGAAATTTGGACACAAAAATGCCACCAGAAAGCACAACATATGAACATGAAGAAAGCCATCTAAAAGCCACGGAGAGATGTCTAGAACAGATTCTTCTTCACAGCCTTTAGAAGGAACCAGTACCTTGAATTCAGACTTCTAGCCTTCAGGACTTGAGATAATACATTTTTGTTGCTTGAGGCACCTAGTTTATGGTACTTTGTTATATAACCCTAGGAAACTAATATAAATGTTCAATCCATTTACATTTAATCAGTGATGTCAGTGTTGTTAAATCTACCATGTTACTATTTGCCTACTATTTTCTTATTTGGGTGTTGTTCTCTTCCCTTGGTTGTTGATATTTCTTTCTTCACCGGTTCAGTGTTACCTTCCTTAGAGTAAATGGATATTTTTCAATATTTCATTTTAATTATGCTATTGGCTTTATACCCTTCATACATGTGTTCTTGTTGATTCGATGTTCTTGGATCTCTGCATTGAAATTTTTCATCAAAATTTGAAAACACTGGCAATTATTTCTTCAAATATATTTTTTCTTTCCCATTTTCTGACTCATCCTTTTGAGACTTCATTTGTGTATAGGTTTGATGGCTTGATATCCCATGTCATTCAATCTCTTATTTTAATCATTTTCCTCTTTTGTTTGAGATTAGATAAATTCAAAAATGGTTTTCAAGGTTATTTGTCTGCTTTTCAGAGAGCTGAAATCTGAGAGTATACCCTGCCAGTGACTCTTTCATTGTATATTTTGCACTTGTTACTTCAACAATGTTCATTTCTCAAAATTACCTTTTTTGTTCTATCATTGTGACAATATCTCCATAGTCTAAGGACATATTCATAATATATATCTGTTGATTTCAATGCCTGGGTCATTATGATGTATGTTCTATTGACTGCTTTTTCCCCCTTGATTATTTATTAAATTTTCCTGCTTCTTTGCGTAACTTGTATTTTTGACTAATACACTGTAGAAAATCTAGACGTTGTCTTCTTGTAAAAGGCCCTAAGATAGTCCTTTGAAAGCTGTTAAGTGGCTTCCAGATCCTTTTGATCTGCCATGCCTGGTTTCATTATTTGTTAATGAAAATCTCTTTCATTTTTGTTCTTAAAGATAGGACATAGTCTTTACTGAAAGAAATAGTCCTTGTTCTTAATGCCTGGAATATTCCGTAAAATATCTTCCCTGTGGCTAGTCAGTAACCCAAACATCTCCTTGTCCTGTTACTACTGATATCTTATTCCCACAGTATCTGCTTTCAGCAGGTCTTGCAGATGTTAACCCTGCTCAGGTATAGAGCAGCTTTTGACGAAATTGGTGCCAAATACTTATTCTGGCTTCTGTAGGCCTACCCCATGCCTCTTTTTCCTTTCCTATACAAATTTCAGCCACTTCAGCAGCTCTTAAATAACAACCACTTAAGCAAGTGTAAGCTATTTACAAATATCGATAGATAGATAGATAGATAGAGAGAGAGATGATATAGATAGAGATTTAATTGTAATTTTAGATTCAGGGGGTATATGTGCAGGTTTGTTACAAAGTTATATTGCTTGCTGCTACTGTTTGGGCTTCCACTGATCCTGTCACCCAGGTAGTGAACTGAATACCTAACAGGAAGTTCCTTGGCTCTTGTCCCTCTACCCCTACCTCTTTTTGGAACCTAATTAAACTAAGAGCTTCTGCATAGCAAAAGAAATTATCAACAAATAAGCAGACAACCTACAAAATGAGAGCTTTAAGCTTTAATTTCTTCCTCTAAACTCATTATTTTTAGAGTCTGCCTCCTTGTTTAATGGGAGAAAAAGTGCCCCTAGTCACATTCTCTGGTTAAATGTGGTACTTACCTCACAGCTTTCTTCTCTCTTGAGTATGAAAAACTTGTACTTCTTGTTTGATGCATAAAATCTGGTTCCTCATATATGTTGCCCAGTTTTATCATTGTTTATAGTGAAAAGGCAAGTCCCTCCAATAATTCTATTATGGCCAAAGACTAAAGTGCCTCTGATATGACTTATGTCCTTCAGAAATTGCTTACTCTTTAGTCTGTTGGTAGAATTCTTCTCAACTTTCCATAGTTATTTTAATAAGTACTATATTTTCCTATTTCAATGGCAATTTGGAATAAAGGAGAAATAAATGTATTTGTTTGGTCCATCTTTGTGTATTCAAACTGTTAAGTCATTACTTTTCACGTCCACTACACATATTACTGCACAGTAATTCCTTGTTTACACCTATAATCTCCCTCTCCTGTTTTCCTAGTTTCTATTCAAGTATTTGGGGTAACTGATATTTCTTAAAACAATATGTATTCTTGGAAAGAGATGTTTCTAGAATCCCCTTCTTAGGTGACTTATTAGGAAAAATTATAAGAATAAGAACGAGAATAGAGAAGAAAAGTAATTGAAGACATCCACTTCAACTCTAAATCCCCATAGGAGAAAAAAGGCTAGCACTTATTTAAATGCCCTTCTTAGGTGACTTATTAGGAAAAATTATAAGAATAAGAATGAGGATAAAGAAAAGTAATCGAAGATACCCACTTCAACTCTAAATCCCCACAGGAGAAAAATGGCTGGCACTTATTTAAACTCATCTAGGGTTTAGTTTTGCTGATGTTGTTTTTCCAATAATAATCTGTTTCAATTATTATAACAGCAATTTCAGTGAAATATGGTACTTACCAGCTAAGTTTTACACAGGGAAGCACTTTCCTAAACACTTCCCCATCCTTCTTCAAAGTTTGAATCCAAATCTTTTGTACTCCAGGGCTTATTTTGTTTTTCCTACAGCATTCTGCCTTTCTAGAATTAGCACTAGTTACCCTCAGGAAAAGCAAATACATGGACCCATAAAATAATCTTTGGAAGTCTTTCTTCTCCTGCTAGTTACCAAATTATAATCTTCTTATTGTAATAATAAAATAAAATACAAAATAAAAAGAACTATTTTACTCTAATAAGTTTCCCATTAAGCTAAGCCTGCTTTTGTTGTATTAGAGATTAACATATGTAGACAGTGTTCTTTTTGACTGGAAATGGGGATTAGTTATGGTTCAAGTAATGCATAAACAAGATGTATTTTTAAAAATACGTCATATTTATGCATTATATTTAAGCAGCCATTTGTAAAAAGCTGAAACTTATTAGAAAGTGAATTCTTCATAATCATGTGTGTATTTTCAATGTTTAGGATTATTTGTTAGCTTAGGTATAGACTAGATTATTTTTCTAAACAAACAGGAATAAGAAACATAGTTAGTAAAATTTACATGACCTGGTAAAATTTAAAATATCCATTCTGACTAACAGGCAGTGATGAGAACAATAAATAAAATATATCTTGGTTTAAATTCTAAGTAAATATATTTGACAATATAAATATAAACATACTCATATGAGTGAATTGCTTCTAATTCTGGCTTTTAGCTAAATAAGCACTTAATGCTAGTAAGAAAAATACATTATTTCATAAAGATAACAAATTCTTTCAGAAATAGTAATTATATTTTTAAAGAGTTTGGGGAAAATAGAAGTGTATACTCTAATCTTATAGCAAAGTTTCTGCTAAGTTTTTGTGATGCCAGTGTTTTCATTATGAATCATTTCACTGTCAAACAAAATGTACGCTGTTGATTAAACACAGGCAAAAAGAGACGGAAAGAAAAAGGTATATTAAAAAAAAGACCGTTGGTTATTCTGGCTGCCACCAATTGCTTTCTTGTTTCAGCTGAATTTTGAAGTAGCTAATCATATTTTGGCATTTTCTTGTCATCAAAGCATTTCGTGAAATTATCCCATTACAATGTTTTTCTCAGAGGCAAAATTAACATGGTTGACAGTTTAATTGACATATTTCTTTTTCGTTGTGTGCCTTTGCCAATTAAACAAATTGCACCCTATTTTGATGTTCATTTTGTTAATTATTTGTAAAACTGTAGACTCTGATTTTTTTTTTTTTTTAATTTTCAGGTGTCAGTTTCTTGGTCGGGAATGAAAATAGTGCCAACCTGTGATACCTTCACTCTAATTTTACTTTCTGAGGAAGTTTTCTGTAATAGTTATTTGGTGATAATTATTAATACTGGTGAGTTTTAAAATTTTTGCTTTCAGCAATTTTCCATTTTTTTCAACATACTTATATCGCAATGAGGCAACCAAATATGAATCCTGAGAATGAAGATGGAAAATGAATATTTTAATCCAATATCGAGTTGTTCTTTCAACATTTTTAGTTTTAGTTTTAATCGAAAATATAAAGTTACATAATTGTGTGAGGAATAATTTTTGCAGAGAAATTTTTAAAAATTCACAAAAGGAAAAAGAAACCTTTACCATGAGTCTATAACATTGAAAGACTGTGTTTAAGTTATTTTAATAAAGCCAAACCAACACTTTCAGCAGGAACTAAATGGCAGCATCTGATTTCACGCTGATACATATGTATTAGTGTGGTGCTCACTTTTACCCTTCATTTTACCTTGGGTCTTGCCATTTTCTTTCTTTTTATTTTTATGTTTTTTTGTGTTTTGTTTTCTTTTGGAAGAGGTAATTTTTAGGGAGAAAAAAAACACTTTTTCCTCATAGGTCGATTTAAAATGTTGGCCTTACCTTAATCTCCTCTCTCAAACTCAATCCACTATGTAATGGGTCAACATACTTTTCTGTGAAGGAGCAGATAGTAAATATTTTAGTCTTTGCAGGCCATATGGTCTCTGTTGCCAGCTCTTCCATTGTGGTGTGAAAGCAGCCATAGACAACACAGAAATGAATAAGTGTAACTGTTCCAATAAAAACAGATGATATGTTGAATTTAGCTCACAGAGTTTAGCTTGCTGCCCCTGCAGGAGGCCTTTGGAGTAAAAGCTTCCTGAGAGGAGGACTTTTTGTCTTTTTTGCTCAAGTTCTAGCTCCAGTACCTAAAATAGTGCCTGTCACGTAGGTATTGATGAATATTGGAACCTGTTGAACATACACCTAAAATAAAACATTTGGCAAGATACAGTACTACACAATTTGGAGAACACTTGGCTCCCATAGAAATCAAAGCCTTCCTGAGTAATTAATTATTTGGCCTGATGATGAATTACTGTGCCTGAGATGATAGAGCTAATTTATTTTTCAATTCACTCAGGGGACACACGTTATTTTCACTGTGAATTTGGTTAAAATGAAAAGATTTCCTGCTCTAAGTCCTGGATAGACCTTTATGTAATAGCATACTCTTCACTCTTTTTGAATCGCATGCAGTTGTCAGACTGGATGATTTCCAGACAGAGGTTCCAAGTCTTTCATCATGTTTGGGTTAAAGACCTCATTAACATACTAGTCCTGCCATTTGAGTCTGTTCTCTTCACGGAATATTTTCACCTGAATCAGTGGGTATAATTCATCAGTGTCTGGTTGCTTCAAGTTATTTTTCTTAATGCTGATGTTAATGCATGCCCATCTTTATGCCTCAACACATTGCACAATGAAAAACAAAAATTATTTTGGAAGACACAGCTGACATCTATATGAAATATTCAGTATCAGTGATTGAACTTCAGCAAGCTCCTGTGGCCAGCAGGGTTTTACGGAGGTGCAACTGCTCTCCCACGATCACTTATCATAAAGCCAGAGACAATTGGGCCAATGTAGCCTCTTGCCTGCTTTTGTGTACAAAATATAAATAGAATAGAGCAAATAAGGAAAAATAGTCCCGCAGCTGGAAGGCAACTTTAAAGAAAAATGATGTTCATAGCTGTCTTGCCAGTAGCTGGCAAAGCAGTTTTTATAAGACATATTTAATGTTTACAACCACTTGGAGGCTGGGGAAGGAGTAATACTTTGAAAATATGTTTAATGTTGTGAACCACTCTGTGGCCGAGAAGCAACTCCGGCTAAAATATATTTAATGCTTAGAGTCATTTGGCGGTTTCGAAAAAAAGAAACTTCTTGTTAATTTTTAACATTTATTGCTGATCAGTGGCTGCTAAAGTAACTATCAGTACAGCATGATTTATATTTAGGGACACGCTGTGCTGCTACTAAAACAATTCATACTCTTCTCTCAAGGCTACACAAAAAGTGTCAATAGCATTACCTTTGCAATTGCACCACTAATAAAAACATAGGAATCAAACAGACGAATAAAATGCTCCCTGCCCACACAGCCATAACATCCTATGGCCCTGAAAATAGTTCTGCCAAGCTGCGTGCAGTGGACACTTCACGGCTGGCACAGGAGAGATCACAAGGCCTTGCTCAATTTCATCAAAAGTGTTAAAGCGACTCAGCAGATTGTGAAGCACAAGTGGAAGCTGATAATTGGTGTTTCTTACAAATCAACGGCTTGTCTCCACACATCAAGGTAAAGGCGTCCTCTACACCAAAGAAAATGTAAATTGGGATAGAAGGTCATTATGTTTTTAAATAAACTTGGTTAAATTTGTAGAAAGGGCAATGGTAAATACTGAGCTCACATGTCAGATGGAGAGAAAACTTGAGAAAAGGGAAGAAGATAATGAGCTGGAACCTTTACCATTTAGACTTTCTCTGGCTAGATTTCTGAGAATGATCATCAAACTCTTATGAGGACCCTTTCCAATGTATTGACTGCACTTCCCCAGGGATTGTGGCAAATGGTAAATATATATTTTCTCCTTGCTACTTGCAATAACCCTGCTCATAAAGTGTTACTATTATTCACTTGCAGGTGAGAAAATCAATGTAAAAGAGGAGAAATAACCCACACAACCACATACAACTAGGAAATGATAGATGGATCTGAAAAAAAGGATATGCACTCTTAACAAGTTCAACACCCAAGTACTATTGCAAGTACCAGCTGTATTTCATGGAAAAAAAAAAAAGAATAACTCAAAAGGCAGAACGAAGAGCCTAGAGGTCAGAGATGAGAGGCATGAATAATTATTCACAGGCGTTGAATATAATCAAATGACTTGCAACATTTACCACTGGGATTTTAAAATGTGGTGGACCAATCATTCTTTTAGTCTGTGCATTTTCCCATTTTTTTCAACAGGAATGTCTAGAGACATTATTCCTGTTTTGCCACTGTATTTTTGGTGAATGTGTAGTAAGTAACTGGCCTCTTTAGTATCACAAAGCTGGATGAAGAAAATGTGGTACATATACACCATGAAATACTATGCCGCCACAAAAAGGAAATGAGATCATGTCCTCTGCAGGGACATGGATGAAGCTGGAAGCCATTATCCTTAGCAAAGTAACGCAGGAACAGAAAACCAAACACCACATGTTGTCTCTTAGAAGTGGGAGCTGAACGGTAAGAACACATGGACACAGGGTGGAGAACAATACACACTGGGGCTTGATGGGGGGTGGAGGGGAGGGATGGGGAGCATTAGAAAAAATAACTAATGCATGCTGGGCTTAATACCTATGTGATGGGTTGATAGGTGCAGCAAACCACCCTGGCACATGTTTATCAATGTAACAAACCTGCACATCCTGCACAGGTACTCCAAAACTAAAAGTAAAAAAATCTAAAAGAAAAAAAAAAAAAGAATTAAACCCAAAATCACTTCCCCATCTGGACTTGATTTAGATGAAAAGCTTCTGGACTTTGAGCTGATGCTATAGTGGGTTGAAAATTTTGGGGTCCTCAGAAGGGGATGAGGATATATTGCATGAGAGAGCAACATGAATCATTGAGAGCCAGAGTATAGAGAGTGGTAGGTAGACTGTAGGAGAGCCCTCAATGATCCCGGCTTTCTTGTATTCGCGTTGCACTTACTTGTATAATATGGCAGATGGGATGTGATGTCACTTTCAAGATTAGGTTATAAATAGACTATGGCTTCAATCAGAGGGTTTTCTCTCTGTCTAGCTCTCTTTTGGGTAGTTCATTCTGAGGAAAGCCAGCTGCCACGTTATGATGTAGGCCTGTGAGGTCCACGTAGCAAAGAACATATGGAAGATTTCTACCACCCCCTAACTAAGCCTTTAGATCAGACCGCAACCCCAGCCAACAAGGTAGCTACAAACTCTTGAGAAGCCTTGAGACAGAGGTACTCAATAGAGCCATTCCTATGAGAAACGTAAGTATCTGCTGTTTTACACCGCTAAGGTTTTAGCTAATGTATTATGCCATAATAGATAAGTTATATACAACCTTTATCAAATAATAAAAGTAACCATCATCAGTAATGAGACAAATCAAAAACCATGGCCCACCCAACAGAACATAATGAGGAGAGTACAGAATTGCTTCTGGGATATTTCTGACAAAGATGTATATGCTTCATTCATACATGAGGAAACATCACACATACTCAAGATGGGAGAGCCATTCTAAAAAATAACTAGGCAGAAATCTTCAAAAATATTAAAGTCACGGAAACCAAGAAAAAATATGAACCTGTTTCAGATTAAAGGAAACTAAACAGACCTAACATTTTAATACAATGTTTGATTTTGAACTTGAACTTTTTGTTATATAAGACACTATTGAGACAAGTGCTAATGCTTGAATAGGGCTGAAGGATTAGATTATAATAATACATTAATGCAAATTTCCTGATTTTAAACATTGTAGTTTGATTGCACAAGGAGAATGTCTTTATGTGTGGAAAATAAATAGTCAACATTCTGTCTTCAAGCTTCTGAGAAAACTCTGCTTTTAGGGCATAGATAGAAGTGGATGATAATTCACCTGTTCCTCTGCTACTAATTGAGCTGCTCTCTGTTTCCATGGCTGGCTCATGGGATGAGAGAATATATCTAGTTTTTTATGTTTCAATTTGTCTCTCTATGGCATTTTTGTGAAAATAAGGAAGTGTGGAGACTTATATATGTTTCTAAATTGTAATAGTTCATTAATGTAAAGTACAGACACAGTCTTCACTTTTCCTTCTTAGACCGTTTAAATATGGCCACGAAACAAGTAGTCTCTGGTTGGCTGGACACTGTGGCTCATGTCCTTAACACCAACACTTTGGGAGGCCGAGGCAGGCAAATCACTTGAGGTCAGGAGTTCGAGACCAGCCTGGCCAATGTGGCAAAACCCCATCTCTTCTAAAAATACAAAAATTAGCTGAGTGCGGTGGTGCACACCGGTAATCCCAGTTACTCGAGAAGCTGAGGCAGGAGAATCACTTGAACCTGGAAGGCAGAGGTTGCAGTGAGCCAAGACCGCACCACTACACTCCAGCCTGGGCAATAGAGCAAGACTCCATCTCAAAAAAAAAAAAAAAAAAGAAAAAAGAAAATAGTCTCTGGTTAAATAACCTCTGAAAGACTCCACCAAAAATTTCATCTTAGCATTTCTCCCCAAACTTCAGGTAAAATAAAATAGAGTTGAGAGAAAAATAGAAAGGCAAGGGAGTACCTGTTCACTATTTTTATTAAACCAGTGTTCTACTTTATTTTAGGTGTATCTTTTCTTATTTAAATGTCAGCTAAACTTTCTTTTTAAGATATTGAATGAAAGATGCCCGTCCTTCAGGTTTCGTTTAAGCAAGAATCCCCATTCTCAAATAATATAATATAAACTTTCCAAATTCTTAAGTAGATCATCTGAGATTGAAAGCTAAGTTTAACTTTCTCAAAGATATTTTAGCCGCCATGACACCTAGACAAAGTGGTATATTAAATTCTGATTAATTTGGTCCTAAAGCACCTAAGAATCATTCTTACTTTCTTATCCACAGGGGTTATTAAGTTTTCACATTAAAAAAAATCCAACAGTGAATAATACTGCATTGGGGTTACTGTAATTGTTAAGTAAAATAAGAAATACAAATCTTTAGTTAGATCACATGGCACCTGACTACTGCTTAGAAAATGGTAAGACTTACTACATAAATCATGAGTCACTATTGACATCTACTATATCATATCATAGGTTAGGTATCTAATTATAAATAGTCAAATCAGCTGACTCAAGGTGGCATAGCTCAAGCAGAGGAAGATAATACAAGTTGAGTATGGATTTAACACTCTAAACCTGTCAGCACTGTAGGAAAAGTAACTTAAAACTGCACACCCCACTTATGCATAATCATCAGATATAAAGAGGGTACATTCCTGTAATTTATTGTTGCTCTAGTGATCTTAAAGAATTAAGTCCACATTCATAAAGTCCAAACTTGTCTCCAAGGATTTGCTTTGACTTTGGGAGTATCTGGATCATTAAGTAATTTCCGGAGGTCAGAGTAAAAGCTTTTTATCTCTAAATATTACTTCCCTGGAAAATTAGATGTAGCAGAAGTCAGTAACGGAGTGACCTTTGTCTTAAACAATTCATAGATTCACTGAAATTTTCTTCAACTTTAGGAAAATTAAATATATTCCACAGTGCTGTAAGTCTTAAATATTGATTTTCCTCTGAAATCTTGACTCATCCTACCCACCAACATTCTCCCTTTGTACACTATGTTCTTTGTAATGTTCACGTTACACAAGTGAAAATTAGTAACATTAGTAAATTTTCATTGCAGGTTTATTTGTTCATATTTCTGGATATATAATCCATTACTGTTAAACTTCATATCAATGTTCCGATATTTCTTCATCTTATGTTTTATGTTACAAAACAGGTTATTTCACTATATGTATTTTTAATTGATTAATTCTTCCCTTTTTTGGAAATGAAACAGCCCTCTCAATTATTGGGACAGAAAAGTTATTTCATAGGGAATACTTCAAACACTGATATCTACAACAGGCAGTAAGATTCGTCACAACAATTGGTATACTGTCAATATACCATACAAAGTTCCATCTGGTCTTGATTAAAAATTATTTTAGTTTTCTCAGGAAAATGATACAGAGGGAGAATTGCCTAGATTATATGAGAGAAAAAAAAGTAGAGAGAAACATAATGTTTTCTTAGATTATTACAGCAGTGAACTATTTCCACCTGGTAAGAAGGGTGCACTTGAGAATGGGGTTCAAGTACTCTAGGAACATAGATGTAAGTTCTGGATGCACAGTAGTTGTTGCTTAGCTGTAAGCTGGAAATTTCAAGGCAGAAACAGCAGATACCACAACTATAACTGGGTCTCCTTGTTTTTTGTTTTATGTGTATACGTGAGATTATGGGGAAAGACAAAAGTAATGCATAGAGATTTATTTTTTAACATTCAATTCATAAGCAGTGTTTATACCTCTTTGTACTTACTTGAAAAGTGTATATTATGTAAATTTAGTATAAAAACACTTGGACTAATTCATACCATGTGGTAAAATTTCACATTCAAAAGAAATACCCTTCTGTTATTAAAAATAAAAAAAAAAGGAGCCAGGAGGGTGGCTCATGACTGTAATCCCAGTGCTCTGGGAAGCCAAGGTGGAGGGATCATTTGAGGCCAGGACTACTTGAGAACAGCCTGGGCAACATAGCTAGATCCCTTCTCTACAAAAAGTAAAAAAAAAAAAAAAAAAAAAAAAAAATAGCTAGGCAGGGTGGCACATGACTGGCTATTAAGGAGGCTCAGGTGGAGGGATCTCTTCAGCCCAGGAATTTAAGGCTTCAGTGAGCTAAGATTGGGCCATTGCACTCCAGCCAGGGCAACAGACCAAGACCCAGTCTCAAAATAAATAAATAAAAATGAAAGAAAGCAGTGCACTGAAAATCAATTTAAGTATTTACTGGAGTTGTCTTGAAGGCCCAATGGGAAATTTCAGTAAGGGCACATGAGAAAACACTTTAAGAACCTATTCTTCCAAAGATCTTTCCAGTATCTTATGACAACACAGTAAATTATACCCACTCCAACTGCAAAAGCTGAAACTACTCTGCTTTCTCACTTACCTACACTTTTGACTTTCCAAATACATTTCTCTCTTCGGATATGAGCTGCAAACTCCTTATATAAAGGCTCCAACTCTGCAGCCCTAATTATTCTAGTTGGCCCAAGAAAAATCCTAATTGTTTTATCTAAGGAGACGGAATTTTCCAATACTGTAGAGGCATGTGTGTGTGTTTGCTTTAAGGAAGCTGTTTTGGTAATAAAAAGTCACTGAAGGTCATAAATTCATGTTAACACATCCAGTGTACATGAAGTAGGCACCGAGTTAAACTATTTGTCTACTATATAGCATGTCATCTTAAAAGCCTTATTTTTTCCTCAAAATATTAACTTTATTTTTCTCCCTGTAAAATCAAGACACAGTTAAAATGTAGCCTTCCTCATTTTCTGGGAATACTTTCTAACAAGATATGCTTCTTTCCAATTGGACTTCTAAATTTCTAGCAATTCTAACAGTGCATAAAAGAGGCAACCCCAAAAGTGTAGCAGGTACTGAATAACAGATTTGCAGCCTTGGGTATCCACATTAAAATTTGAAATCTAAGTGAATTACTTCAAGCTGATTTCTTAGGTCAAGGAGAGATTATGGTCCTTAAATGCCTGATAAGGTCACATACACAATTTCAAGTGCATTATAGTAAATCCATGTGACAGCTCCTACAGCTACTAACCTGCTTCTGCCCTCACGGTAGCGTGCACAATCTTCATCGCATGTCCTGGGTGGTGGTAGGAGCAGTAGAAACCCCCTGGGTCATGTCAGATTTAGAAAATATAAGCAATGGCTCATACACGAATTTTAAGTTGTAACCTACATGTGATAAGTTGCTTTATCTTCCAAATGTAATAAAAACCAGAAGTTACTTTGAAATAAATTGAAGGATTAGCAGTGGTGACTGAGGAATAAAAATTATAATTTAAAATTGTCCTTAAGGCTGGAATTCTTAACTTATTGACCTTATATCCTACATATTATAGGACTTTGTAAATTTAGGCTGATATGGAAATGTATATTTATATCAAATTTAAATTTTTAGAATGATGGTGCTACTATAGTCTAATTGTTAATTTGATAATTGTAATTGTAATTTGTTAATTTGTTCTAATAATGTTTTCATGACATTATTCATTTGCTGCTTGGCTTGATGGCATAACAAGTATGGGTTATTTACCCTGAAAAGGAAGCAGTATCACCCTTCCAGAATCTCTATTTACAGCTACAAAAGATGCAACACACCTGTTTCTGGACCACTTCCAGATCAGATGTGATGCATGCTTTAGATCATTTACTTTGATCTAGGAATTACTGTCTGGCATTTCGTGGTGTAAGGTAGGTGTCTCCAGCACTGTATAGGTGTCTGGAATTGAGATAAGAATCAATTTCAATACAAAATACATTTTTTGCTTAAAGCACGCAAGGATTCTATGAATTCAGGTAAATTCACAGGGTGGAAAACAGGAACTAATGTTATATATTCCTGTAGTTATCTTCATAATGAAGCAGAAAGAAAAACAAAAAAGTTACAAAAATAAATGAAAAGAACTGTATTTTCTAGAATTGAAAAATAATTCTTTTAGATGATAGATAAGATGTTTACATCAACCTGCAAAAAGTCAATGTTGAAGAGGTCTCATTGTATCTCACAGAATTTTGATTTGCCTACTCACCCACAGGAGACATTTCTGGGACAGTAGCAACATAAGGTCCATCCCAAAACTTTGGCTCATTATCATTAATATCCTGCACTTTGATGATGAATTCTGATTCAGGCTCCAGGGGCTTTCTGGTTTCTATGTCCACAGCCTGAGCACGAAGAGTGTAGAAAGGTTTTTCTTCTCTATCTAGGCTCCTTATTGCATGAATGTCCCCTGTGGTTTCATCAATGGTAAAAACGGTGCCAGCGCCATCTCCTGAGAGGGTGTATTTCGCAGTGCCCTCTCCCTTGTCTAAGTCGGAATGGAGCTTTAGGGAAGAGAGGGAGAGAGAGAGGAAGAGAAAGAGAAGGACAAAGAAAGAACACCATTAAAAGGATGTTGCCAAATTAAAAAGTCATAATTTGCAATACAATTCCTTTAATCAAAAATGTTAAATAAAAATCTTATGGTTCTGTTTTCTTGTTTTTTATTTCTCCAACTTCTTTTTATAAAAATTTCAACACAAAAAGTTGAAAACTGTGCAATGAACACATATACATATACATCCAAACATTCCTCCATATGTGTGCAATGAACACATATATACCTATACATCCAAACATTCCTCCATTCGTCTATTAATCTGCTTGCCTTATCAGATAGGTCTCATATCCATTCTTCTGTTCATCCTTCTCTTAACCCATTTTTTTTTTGAGGTGTTACAAAGATCAGAACAAAAGTACAACCTCAGATATAGCAGCAGGCAAAAAAAAACAATAAATTTTGAAAATTTGTATTTAGTTCTTCTGTATCCCTTTGGGATAACATTTTCATAAAATGAAATGCACAAAACTTCAGTGTACTTATTGTTTCATTTTAAATAAACATTGCAATAAAAATAAATTAGCTCATAGACACCACAAAATAAACTTTCCAAGTGTTCTGAAGATGAAATCAATGACCTGAATCCAGTGGGAGATAGTGCAAAGGAACTCAGAAAACACTAAGCATTTTCATTTGTAAAGAAGGGAAAAATCTGGCAAATCAAGAGGTTTTCAGTGATATAGGGCAGAGCGTCTCATTTTAACAGGCTGAGTTTGAATGAGTTTACCACTATGATTGGTAGAATCACTGATTATCCTTTCAGATTCAAAATAGCTTGTTCCAATTCATTCTATATAGAGAATATTTATGTTGAGTAATATAGGAAAGCATTGAAATTCTGCTAATTTTTTTTTAAAATTCAACACATGTATGGTACATTACATTATAGCATGGAATAAGATACACATGAATAAGCGATAAGGAAGAGAACTAAAGAGTAGAGAGAATTATCAGTGTAATGCCATAAAGCAGCGTTGTTCAAACCGGAGACCAAGAATAAATGAAAAATGGACACAGTCTTAAAAGTATATAAATTATGTGTAAATAAATATATACATAAAATATTACATAAAATAAAATAGTGCATCATATACAATTTTCTAGTAGTATATATTTGTATAAATATATTCTTATACATAATATAATTATATATACATATATACATAACAGTCATAAATAATATTTATATTAATTTTTATGCAGATGCTGATTTAAATGTTTTAAACTATTCTTGCTCATTTGGGTATAGCCATTTGATTTCAGCATCCAAATTTTTACATGTAACAGCTTTTTCCAGACAACAGATCACCCAAAAGAAAATTAAACTTTTGCAGCATTTCTAACCATTTGGGCTATGCCTTAAAAATCTGCATATGAGCACTGCTCTTTGCAAATCATTGCTTAAGAATGAGTTCTGTTTTCCTAACATTTCAACACACACAAAAACTCTGAAAATATTTTAAATTATATAAATATCCTGTTGCAAATAAGCTTCCTGTGTATTAGTATGAGTAATTAAAAGCACAAATATAGCCCAAATAAATACAAGTTCAACTGTGGCTACATCTTTGCTCTTAAGCTCAAGAGCGTGCTTTAAGTTCAATAAAATAATATCATTGTTCATATTAATGTTATTAAGGTAAACTTATTCATTTTGTGACCCTGCATTTCCTTCAATATTTGTTCTAAAACTGTTTTGTATGAGAGTATAAGCATAACCATAAAAACCTGGTTGGGTAATATAATAAAAATAATGTGGCAACAATAAGAGGGAACAAGATTTTGGCGTTCCTTTAAAAGTTTCTGTATATTTTACTTAAGTATAAAGAAAATTGTTATGAATGATAGGAGGAAGGATTTTTGTCCACCTATTAAAAAAAAAAACTGCTGTGAAGCATAGGAAGTTTCAAGCATAAAATCAAGCAGTAGATAAATGTTCTTTGAACTTACGAATTTCAAATTATAAATTTCAACCATGCTATTAAAGATATTCAACACAGTGGATATTCCTTTTGCTTTCAAATTTATCTAAATATATGAGACAGGCAAAAGCTCAATGCAAAAGGCATGACTTTATAAAATGGATCCATTTTGCCAACAGCTCAAAGAATTATGGTAATATTGTGGGAACTGAGTGAAAATTCAGAGTAGGTTTTGAAATGGATACAAGTAGAATTTTAAAAAGAAAAAAAAAAAATTTCTGTATTTAGCTAAAATCATAACTGTTTCCTTTGCAAACTGACATAAAAATGAAGAAGCAAAATGTGTCTTTAGTTATATCCAAGTTCCAAATTCAAGTTAATTACTGCTGCTCCTCACTCTTCTACCTTTTCCTTCAAATTTAAAGATGGGCTTTGCAGAGATTAAAGCTTCAGAAAAAAATATGGGAAAATATGTTAAAATGTTGACCTGAAAATGAAGTGGATGACTATAAAACTCTTGAGAGAATTAGACTTTTTGTAGCAGTTTATTACATGATAATACCTTAAAGGAGATCACATTCAGTGACCTGCGTTGACAGGTAATATTTAAAATTAAGTATTAATGCTGATTAATTCAGGCAGATGGGTGGTAGCCTAAAGTATAGACATTTTTCCAATATTAATTTTGATATTAAATAAATGACATCGGCTCTTGTTGGATATTGTAAAATTTCCTTTACTTCAACTGTAAAATAATTTCAACAGTGAAAGGTATAAAGTAAGATGAAAATTTCCATCATGATCTTACCTAGAGATAACTTCTCTTTTTTTGAGTCGAAGTATCGCTCTCGTTGCCTAGGCTGGAGTGCAGTGGCGTGATCTCGGCTCACTGCAACCTCCACCTCTCGGGTTCAAGCAATTCTCCTGCCTCAGCCTCCAGAGCAGCTGGAACTACAAGGCGCATGCCACCATGCCAGGCTAATTTTTGTAGTTTTGATGGAGACAGGGTTTCACCATGTTGACCAGGCTGGTCTCAAACTCCAGGCCTCAAGTGATCCACCCGCCTCAACCTCCAAAAGTGCTGGGATTACAGGCATGATCCCCCATGCCCAGCTGAATTGGAGGAAATTTTAAAAGTTAATTTTAAAACTGCTTCTCTTTTATGGGAAAGGAATATGTTTTTAAATGGTATTCAGTGTGCTCTTTTTTAAAAAAATCAAAAATTATCCATTAACATCCGTTACTTTTTTTGTTTTTGGTTTTTTTTGAGATTGAGTCTTGCTCTGTTGCCCAGGCTAGAGTGCAGTGGCATGATTTCAGCTCACTGCAACCTCCACCTCCCAGGTTCAAGCGATTCTCCTGCCTCAGCCTCCCAAGTAGCTGGGATTACAGGCGCCCGCCACCACACCCAGCTAATTTTTGTACTTTTAGTAGAGACAGGGTTTCACCATCTTGGCCAGGCTGGTCTCGAACTCCTGACCTCGTGATCCACCTGTCTCGGCCTCCCAAAGTGCTGGGATTCCAGGCGTGAGCCATCACGCCTGGCCTAATAGCCATTACTTTTTAATGCATGGTAATTTTTTGTTCAGTAGATAAATATATTGTTATCTTAAAAAGATTTTTTGTATTTACTTTTGAGACTGGGTCTCAGTCTGTTGCCCAGGCTGGAGTGTAGCAGCCTGATCATGGCTCAGTGCAGCCTCTACCTCCCCGGGCTCAGGTGATCCTCCCCCTTCAGCCTCCTGAGTAGCTGGGACTACAGAGGTGTGGCACCATGCCCGGCTAATTTTTGTATTTTTTGTGGAGATGGGGTTTTGCCATGTTGCCCAGGCTAGTCTTGAACTCCTGGATGTGAGCCACTGCGTCTGGCCTATTATTTTAAATATAGTTCTCTTTACTGCCAGTAGCTTTCATATAACCCTAGCGACTAGATTTAGTCACCACTGCTTAATTCCAAAAAACAAAAGCTCCATCCTATATTTACTGTAAATCAGTCTCTTTGATTGTATTGCATGTTTTATTTCAAGAAAAAAGTTAACCTGAAGATTTAATTTTAAATAACTACACATGTTGTCACTAATAGAAATAACAAATAATTATATGAGAATAATGGTAATTCTCCTAAGTTTTGTGGTAAATTTTTTGGCAATTTTATTGAAGTATAATAAAATTCAACAATTCAATACGTCTTTATAAATGTTCATTGTGATATAGGACAGCTCTATCACAGTACTGGGGTAAATTTTAATTATATTTATTAATTACAGATGTGAATTTCTTCGGAGTAAGAAATCCTCAGAGGAAATTACCCAGTATATTCAAAGCTACAAGGGATTTGTTGACATAACGGTAATGTATAACAGCAATTTTTTTCTCAAGTTTTTGGATTACCTGTAAGTGTCTGACTCAGAAGGGCATAGGCATTCTTTTTATGTCATGGGTTTGATTTCTTTCTTCCTTTCTCCTTTCATTCCCCTGGCTCCCATCTTCAAAGTGAAAAATATCACATTCACTTGCTGACCTAGAGCCTTTTTCTTTTTCCAGGGCTGGCTTCTGACGGGCTCTGCTTGCCTTCCTGATAGTCTTCCCCTTTATGAATGAAGCCACTTGCCCCAGCTTCCCTCTGCTGCCCCTATCTGCAGGCTTGCTAAGATCTCCTGACCTAGGCGCTGTCACCCACAGTGGGCTGCAGAGCTGGCTCTTCCTAGCTGGCTAACTATCCTGAATCAGTAAAAATTTCCTAGTGGAGAGTGATGGGAAATCGAATCCAAACTGGCTTAAACAAAAATGAGAATTTATTGATTAACATGACTCAGGAGACCAGAACTCTATAGAGAACATGGCCTGACAGTGGGGGAAGAGAGGTGTTTCCTCAAAAAGAAACTGGGTGCAGCTTTCCCAGAAGAATCAGTTGCTCAATATATAATACCCTGATGAATTTAGTTACCATTCTATGTCTCTTACTTCCTCATTCGTCAAAGTACATCTGTGATATTTAAATGCAGGTCTGTTTTCAAGGTCAGTTTCCGGAAACAGTGACCCTGAGAAGGCTTCCTCCTGAGTATGCATAAACATTCACAGCTTGCATGCGTGTGTGTGTGTGTGTGTGTGTGTGTGTGTATGTTTGCTTGCACTGCATAAAAACAATTGCAACATCAACAGAAATAAAAATTAAAGGAATAATTCTCCTCCGACTCTGCCGTTCCATCCAGTGAAACTCTTCATTCTGGGGTAAAGTTCCTTCAGTTCTTGTTCATAGATAGGTATATACTTCATAAGTCAAACAATCAGGCTGGGCGCAGTAGCTCATGCCTGTAATCCCAGCCCTTTGGGAGGCCGAGCTGGGCAGATCACTTGAGATCAGGTGTTCGAGACCAGCCTCAAGACCTCCAACATGGGCCGGGTGCAGTGGCTCACGTCTGTAATCCCAGCACTTTGGGAGGCCGAGACGGACGGATGATGAGGTCAGGAGATAGAGACCATCCTGGCTAACATGGTGAAACCCCATCTCTACTAAAAATACAAAAAAAAAAAAAAATTAGCCCGGCATGGTGGCAGGCGCCTGTGGTCCCAGCTACTCGGGAGGCTGAGGCAGGAGAATGGCGTGAACCTGGGAGGCAGAGCTTGTAGTGAGCCAAGTGCCACTGTGCTCCAGCCTGGACGACAGAGCGAGACTCTGTCTCAAAAAAAAAAAAAAAAAAAAAAAAAAAAGACCTCCAACATCGTGTCTGTCTCTACTAAAAATACAAAAAAAAAAAAAATTAGCCGGGTGTGGTGGCACATGCCTGTACTACTCGGGAGGCTGAGGCAGGAGAATCACTTGAACCCAGGAGGCGGAGGTTGCAGTGAGACGAGAACCTGCCACTGCACTTCAGCCTGGGCAACAGAGTGAGACTCTGCCTCAAAAAAAAAAAAAAAAAAAAAAGTCAGATAATCAACAACTTGAATTTTAATTTCCCTCAGGGAGAACATTTTGTGAATTCCTGGGTCCAGAGAGAATTACCTATGGCATCAGGTAAAAACTCAAACATTTTCCAAAGGCTTTGCTTGTTTATTTCTTCTTTTGATTTTTTGTCCCTATCTCTTTTTGTCGTCCCCCCCGCCCCGCCCCGTTTATTTTGAAGCAAACTCTAGACATCATTCCATCTGTAACTGTGAAGGGACAACTTGAACGCTGATACTTGCAATATCAAAGCCTACTGGTCTCTTTAATTTGTGCAGCAGCAATAAAGATATAGAAAAAAAAAAGACTAAAGCCTGCTGGTCTCACCTTGTGCTTTTTATTCAAGCTTATTGCAATGACAGCATCTTTGCTTACGAAGAACTACGGCTGGACTCTTTTAAGGACTGGCCCCGGGAATCAGCTGTGGGAGTTGCAGCACTGGCCAAAGCAGGTCTTTTCTACACAGGTGAGTCAGTAGGTTGTGCCCACTTGCTTGCTTGACCTTTAATTCCCACATAGACTTTATGCTCCTGGGCTTACGTTTAGCTACACTCAGCAATGTCCACTAGCTTCAGCGTTTCTTTTTCTTTTCTTTTTTTTTCCCCCTTGGAGACAGAGTTGCCCAGGCTGGAATGCAGATCTTGGCTCACTGCAACCTCCACCTCCCGGGTTCAAGAGATTCTCCTTCCTCAGCCTCTGGAGTAGCTGGAACCACAGGCGCCTGCCACCACGCCCAGCTACTTTTTTGTATTTTTAGTAGAGACAGGGTTTCACCATGCTAGTCAGAATGCTCTTGATCTCCTGATCTCGTGATCTGCCCGCCTTGGCCTCCCAAATGCTGGGATTACAGGTGTGAGCCATCGCGCCAGGCCTCTCTTCAGCATTTCTTATAGATTCGTTTTCTTTTCTTTCTATTTTTTTTGAGACATGGTCATCCAGGCTGGAGGGCAGTGGCGAGATCATGGCTCACTGCAGCCTCAACCTCCTGGGCTCAAGTAATCCTCCTGCCTTGGCCTCCCAAAATGCTGGGATTACAGGTGTGAGCCACTGCACCTGGCATACATCTCTTTTCTTTCCTGCATCATAAATCCTCTCCCAGTTTTCTATTCCTCCCTTAGGTGGTAAACCTTCAAATTTGAAACCTTAAGGTCTGGACTAACAATGAATACAAGTATTCTATTTGTGATAATTATCATGTCTTTTCTTTCTACACATTACTCTCCTCACCTCTTGTCCCCTGACAAAGTGCTCCTAGAAACTGTCACAGGACACTTCTGCTTATATTTCTTTAATCAGAACTTAGTTGGATGGGCCGGGCATGGTGGCTCACGCCTGTAATCCCAGCACTTTGGGAGGCCGAGGTGGGTGGATCACCTGAGGTCAGGAGTTTGAGACCAGCCTGGCCAATATGGTGAAACTCTGTCTCTACTAAAAATACAAAGAATTAGCCAGGCATGGTGGCGGGTGCCTGTAATCCCAGCTACTTGGGAGGCTGAGGCAGGAGAATCGCTTGAACCTGGGACGTGGAGGTTGCGGGGAGTCAAGATCATGCTATTGCACTCCAGCCTGGGCAACAAGAGTGAAACTCTGTCTCAAAAATAATAATAATAATAATAATAATAATAATAATAATAATAATTATTATTATTATTATTATTATTAGTCAGATGACCATACCTAGCTGTAAGAGGAGCTGGGAAACCTAATCTTTTTCCTGGGTGACAATGTGCCCAGCTAAATATTGGGATTTCTATTAGTATGGAAGGATTTGAGATAATAGGAACATGGATAGCAATCTTTGCCACATTCTGCCTGCAGGAGAAAATCAGGAAATTAATTTTCATGATTCCTAAACACGTAGAGCCTTCCACCAGATTGTGGCATTTTCTCTTTAGCTGCTGGTCATTAGGAAGCACCTCTGCAATCTATAAATGATGGGCTGGTTCCTGTCAGCTAAATCTCTGCCTGAAATACAAGATGATCAGGGAAAGGTTCCTAGGTACCTTGCTGGTCTTGCTCAAACCGAACACATGCATAAGTTACAGTGGAGGTTAATGCAGATCTTTAACTGAGAGATCAAGTAGTTGTCACAAATACCATAGAGCAACACAGAGAAGCAGAATATAGTTGTCACTCTACCTAACAGACATGTGCCATTGGAAAAAAAAAAATCTGACTGCCTCACAATCTTAAGCCTTTGGAAAGAGTGTTTGCCATTTCTCCCTACTCTACTGTGTCTTCCTCTTGTCAGCCTTCCGCAAGACCCCTCTGACCAGTGTGCTCCCCCTCTTCCTTTCCAATCCTCCACCACTCCACACAAATCCTAATCATCTCTGACTGTTTTCAGATCTTGCAAGCTCTAGGATCTCATATTTCTGGGAGGCTTTCCTCTGCCCCAGCTTTCCCAGAGTGGAAGGAAGATGAGAAATGCTCTGTTTCTAGTTTGATCCTTTTGCAGAGCTAAATACCAATTTCTTTCCAAAGAAATATAATTTCACAAAGAGACTTAATCCTATTTCTGGTGTAATAAACATGGCAATAATGTGGTAAGAGGCAATTAATTCTTCATGCATTCACTTACATAAGGGCTGCTAGATTTGCTGGTATTTTTTTTTCCGTGAGCTCTAAATATATTCTTTCTGATTCATTCATTAAACGAATACTAATTGAGTGCCACATGAGTGTCAAGCACTTTTCTAGGTTCATGTCATTCATTAGTGAGCAAAAACCTCTACCCTCATAGAGCTTATTTTTATTTTTATTTTTTGAGACAGAGTTTCACTCTTGTTGCCCAGGCTGGAGTGCAATGGCGTTATCTTGGTTCACTGCAACCTCCGTCTCCTGGGTTCAAGCGATTCTTGTGCCTCAGCCTCCTGAGTAGCTGGCATTACAGGCATGTGCCACCATGCCCAGCTAATTTTTGTATTTTTAGTAGAGACAGGGTTTCACCGTGTTGGCCAGGCTGGTCTCAGACTCCTGACCTCAGGAGATCCGCTGGCCTTGGCCTCCCAAAGTGCTGGGATTACAGGCATGAGCCACTGCGCCCAGCCCCCTCATGGAGCTTCAATTCCAGATTCTGGTTGCCAATCTGTTTGTTGATCAAAGGAGAATGGGGCAGAGGGATGGTGTGCATCAAAGTGCATGGTGTGTAGGAGCATTCAATGACTACTTGCCAGTTACCCCATTGGTGGACAGAGTCTTATATAGAAAATTGCCTCACTGGTAACCAACTTCTGACTGTCACAAAACCCAACTGGAGACTGAATAGGCTTTCACTATTACAGGTCTGGTGGTTATTATCTGCATGTTAATGGACAGATGCCCATGCCAGTGGCACTGATCAAGTTTCCTTACTTTTAGGTATAAAGGACATCGTCCAGTGCTTTTCCTGTGGAGGGTGTTTAGAGAAATGGCAGGAAGGTGATGACCCATTAGACGATCACACCAGATGTTTTCCCAAGTGAGTGGAATGAATGTTAACCATCTGCAACTTTGGATGCACTTCAACAGTTTTTTTCTTTTTCCTCATTTCCTGCCTTATTTTATCTTTAGATTGAGTCTTTATCCACTCCTCGGATTCAGGCTATGAAGGATGAGTCTTCATGTCTTTCATCCCTTTGCTCCATGACCCCCTTCCTGTACTAGCCTTCCCCTCTTTATAGTTATGGCATAGTTTTGGCTAGATTCATATATTCACATTACATGTTTACATTATCATGACTATACAAATGCTATGTGGAGCTGAAGCTTGTGGTAAATTTTTATTTATTTTTCCCTTCCTGTATATCCTTTTATTTTTTTAGGAAGTAATAACTGTCCTGTTGGTATGTTAGCTTATTTTTTTTTCCTGAGGTAAAATTCAGGTAGTAACCATTTTATTTATTTATTTATTATTTTTTGTGACAGGTTCTCTCTCTTGCCCAGGTTGGAGTGCAGTGGTGCAATCATGGCTCACTGCAGCCTTGACCTCTCTGGCTCAAGCAATCTTCCTCGCTCAGCCTCCCAAGTAGCTGGGACTACAGGCACATGTCTTCACACCCAGCTAATTTTTTTTTCTTTTTTTAAGAGACAGGGTCTCTCTATGTTGCCCAGGCTGCTCTCAGACTTCTAGGCTCAAGCAGTCTTCCCATCCTGGCTTCCCAAAGTGCTGGGATTATAGGCGTGAGCCACCATGCACAGCAATTAAACCATTTTAGAGTACACAATTCTGTGGCATTTATTATAGTACATTCACAATGTTGTGCAACCACCCCCTCTATCTAGTTCCAAAACACTTTCATCGCCCCCAAAGAAAACTCTGTATCCATCAAGCAGGCCCCCCTCCTCTCTCCACCCCACTCCATGCCCAGCCCCTGGGATACACCAACCTAATTGGTGTCTATGGATTTATTTGTTCTGACTATTTCCTCTAAATGGAAGCATACCGTTTGACCTTTTGCATTTGGATTCTTTCACTTGGCATATTGTTTTGAAGTTTATCCATGTTGTAGCTTGCATAAGTACTTCCTTCCTTTTGAGACCAAGTAATATTCCATATGGATACACTGCATTTTATTTATCCATTCATCTATTTGTAGATATTTGGGTTGTTTCTACCTTTTGGCTACCATGAGTAATACCGATAGGAACATTTGGGTACAGGTATCTGATGGAGCATGTAACTGTATTCAAGTCTCTGGGGCATATACCTAACAACGATATTGCTAGCTGTATAGTAATTCTATGTTTTTACTTTTTTTTTTTTTTTCTCACACAGAGTCTCACTCTGTCACTCAGGCTGGAGTGCAGCGGTGCAATCTCAGCTCACTGCAACCTCCGCCTCCCAGGTTCAAGCAATTTTCCTGCCTCAGTCTCCTGAGTAGCTGGGATTACAGGTGTCTGCCACCATGCCCGCCTAATTTTTTGTATTTTTAGGGTTTCACCATGTTGGCTAGGCTGGTCTCAAACTCCTGACCTCAAGTGATCCACCTGGCTTGGCCTCCCAAAGTGCTGGAATTACAAGCGTGAGCCACAGCGCCTGGCCTGTTTTAACTTTTTGAGGAAATGCTAAACTGTTTTTTCCACAGTGCTTGCACCATTTTAAATTCCCACCAACAACAATGTTGTGCAACCACCCCCTCTATCTAGTTCCAAAACACTTTCATCGCCCCCAAAGAAAGAAAACTCTGTATCCACTAAGCAGGCCCTCCTTCTCTCTCCACCCCACTCCATGCCCAGCCCCTGGGATACACCAACCTAATTGGTGTCTATGGATTTATTTGTTCTGACTATTTCCTCTAAATGGAAGCATACAGTTTGACCAACAATGTATGAGGTTTCCCATTTCTCATCAACACTTTTCTATTTTTAAAAAAATTATAGCCATCTGCTTAATTTTTTTTTTTTTTTTTTTTTTTTTTTGAGATGGAGTCTCACTTTGTCGCCCAGGCTGGAGTGCAATGGCGTGATCTCACTCACTGCAACCTCCGCCTCCTGGGTTCATGCCATTCTCCTGCCTCAGCCTCCCGAGTAGCTGGGACTACAGGCACCTGCCATCACGCCCGGCTAATTTATTTTTTATTTATTTTTTTAGTAGAGACGGGGTTTCACCGTGTTAGCCAGGATGGTCTCCATCTCCTGACCTCGTGATCCACCCGCCTCAGCCTCCCAAAGTGCTCTGATTACAGGCGTGAGCCACCGCGCCCGGCCAGCCATCTGCTTAATTTTTATGTACATTGCTTATTTTTGTTTCTTGAGATAAAATTCATGTATTAATAATTTTATTTATTTAAATGAAATAAATGAAGACGAACACCAGCTCATCTTCAACTTATCCCAAATGTTTAAATCTCCTCTTAAGTCATTCAGACCTACCAGATATCTCATCATTTTCATTTCTTGAAAGAGTCATCATTTTTTTTTTCTTTTTCTTTTTTTTTTGAGACGGAGTCTGGCTCTGTCACCCAGGCTGGAGTGCAGTGGCATGATCTCGGCTCACTGCAGACTCTGCCTCCCAGGTTCAAGCAATTCTTCCTGCCTCAGCATCCCAAGTAGCTGGGACTACAGGCATGCACCACTATGCCTGGCTAATTTTTGTATTTTTAATAGAGATGGAGTTTTGCCACGTTGGCCAGGCTAGTTTCAAACTCCTGACCTCAAGTGATCCGCCTGCCTCAGCCTCCCAAAGTGCTGGTATTACAGGCGTGAGCCACTGCGGCTGGTCCATTTTCATCTTGGAGGAGTCATCCATCATTTTCACCTCCTTGAATGAGTTTCCCTGGAAGTCTTCTGGCCTGCTGGATTATGAACAACTTGTCCTATAATCATCCTGGGATCCAGGGATCTTTCTTCACAGGCATCCTGGAGATTATCTCCTCTGTTGTATCTCCTGGATCTAATGTCATCCTCTTCTTGGTTCACTTGCTCATTTTGTTGGAACACTTCATCGGAGTTCCCTGGGAAAGACTGCATAAGAAATACACACTTTTAGTTGCATATAATGCATATACAGACATATAGATCTATCTAGATATATGTTTTTCCTGTATTCTCACACTTATTTGATAGTTTAGCTAGGTGTAGAATTATAGGTTGGAAGTCATTTTAATTCTAAATTGTAGAGGCACTGCTACATTTCTACTGGTTCCTAATGTGCTGTCGAGAAGTTCCATGCCTTTCTGCTTGTCAATCCTTTTACTGCAAACAAAATTTTTTTTTTCCTCTGCTGGAAGCTTTCAGAAAAATATCTGTTCTAAAATTTTATGAAGAAATATTTCTTTTCTATGAATCTTTAAACTTAATTTTTTTTTACCCATCAAACTCTTTAGAAATGTTTAATTGCAAGAAGAAATTTGTGTTTTCACTATGTAATTAGTAAGAGTTTTTTTTTTAGAAATGAATATGAACACATACAGATTTTAAAATGAATGCTTCCTGCTCATTTGTATAGTGGTAAAAACAAAAATAAAACAAAATGAATACTTCTATCTAATTTTATTGCCTTGAAGGTATTTTGATAGCAGTAGTTACCTCATTTTTCTTTCTTATTTGGGCTTAGTGTATAATAAATTATTGAGAACAATGGGGACATTCTACTTAATTCTTGGAAGGATAAGCTAGGATGCAGTCTAGTCTTATTTAGAACTTACTCTGGAATCGATCAACTCCCTTTTATACTATTATTATTATTATTAGTTTTAGTGTTTTGTTGTTGTTGTTTTGGAGATGGAGTCTCACTCTGTCACCCAGGCTGGAGTGCAGTGGCGTGATCTCGGCTCACTGCAACCTCCGCCTCCCGGGTTCAAGCGATTCTCCTGCCTCAGCCTCCCAAGTAGCTGGGATTACAGGTACCTCCCCACCATGCCTGGCTAATTTTTTGTACTTTTAGTAGAGACGGGGTTTCACCATGTTGGCCAGGCTGGTCTTGAACTCCTGACCTCAAGTGATCCTCCTGCCTCAGCCTCCCAAAGTGCTGGGATTACAGGTGTGAGCCGCCACACCTGGCCTTTAGTGTTTTTTTGTTAAGAGACTGGGTCTCGGCTCTGTCACCCAGGCTGGAGCAAGTGCAGTGGTACAATCCTAGCTGACTGTAGCCTCAAATTCCTGGGCTCAAGTGATCCTCCCACCTCAGCCTCCCAAGTAGCTAGGACTACAAGCATGTGTCACCATGCCCGACTAATTTTTTAAAGTTTTTTTTTTGTAGAGATGGGGTCTTGCTTTGTTGCCCAGGCTGGTCTCAAACTCCTGGCTCCAAATGATCCTTCTGCTTCAGCCTCCCAAAGTACTTGGATTACAGGCATGAGCCACTGCTCCCAGCCAACTCCTTTTTGGATTTTTACTCTTCCTTTTCCTCTTAAAAAAACTGCAAACCAGTATGTCTCCAAATGATTACCTAAAATTTTTATGTATGCTTTAAAGAATGAATAAAAAGCAACCTATGAACCTCCTAGTAAAGTCAAGAAATTGGACATTATCAATGCCTTAAAAGACCCCTGCGGCCGGGTGCAGTGACTCACGCCTGTAATCTCAGCACTTTGGGAGGCCGATGTGGGCAGATTGTCTGAGCTCAAGAGTTCGAGACCAGCCTGGGCAACATGGTGAAACCCCATCTCTGTTAAAAAACAGAAAAATTTAACCGGGCCTGGTGACACACGCCTGTAGTCCCAGCTATTAGGGAGGCTGAGGCAGGAGAATGGCTTGAACCTGGGAGGCGGAAGTTGCAGTGAGCCAAGATGGCGCCATTGCACTCCTGGGCGACAGAGCGTGACTCTGTCTCAAAAAAAAAAAATCAAAAAACAAAAAACAACTCTGCATGCCAACCACCCCCTAATTCTGATTATATCCCTGTCCCTCCAATCCAGAGGTAAATGTGATGCTCAGTTTGGGTTAATTATTCCCTTGCTTCTCTTTGTGGTTTTACCAACTACATATACATCCTTAAACATATTTAGCTTTGTCTATTCTTGAAGTTCAAATAAGAAGCATACTGCATGATTCTTCTTGTAATTGGCTGGTTTTACTCCACGATGTTTTTGAGATTCATCCATATTTATATGTACTACACAGTTGTAGTTCACTTGTTTTCATTGGTAAATAGTGTATTATTTTATGAATATATAATAACTTATTTTACTGTTGATTAACCTCGTGGGTCGTTTTCAGAGTGTTGCAAATTCAAATAATGCCCTATGAACATTCTTGTACATATTTTCCAGTGCTCATGTGTGTTTCTCTAGGATACATAACAAAGTAAAGAATTGCAGAGTCATAGAACTTTGCGGGTGTTCAACTCCACTAGATAATGCAAAGCTTTTTCCCAAGTGGTTGCACTGATTTACATTCCCATTGGCCTAGATGCGTTTCTATTGATTTGCTTCCTCACTAACTTGGTATTGCCCAAATTTTAATTTTTGTCAGTGTAATTACTAATAATGTTAAGCTTATTTTCTTCTTCTTTTTTTCTTTCTTTTTTTTTTTTTGAGACGGAGTTTCACTCTTGTTGCCCAGGCTGGAGTGCAATGGCACGATCTCGGCTCACCACAACCTCCGCCTCCCAGGTTCAAGTGATTCTCCTGCCTCAGCCTCCCGAGTAGCTGGGATTACAGGCATGTGCCACCACGCCCAGCTAATTTTGTATTTTTAGTAGAGATGGGGTTTCTCCATGTTGGTCAGGCTGGTCTCGGACTCCCAACCTCAGGTGATCCACCCACCTCAGCCTCCCAAAGTGCTGGGATTACAGGTGTGAGCCACCGCGCCCGGCAGTTGAGCTTATTTTCATATTTTCCTGCAGAATAGTCTTGTTCTTTCTCTTCAAGAGTGTGTCTTAGCTATTTTTTTGCCCTTTGGTCTTTCATATTCCAGAGAATATATTAAATATCCCAAGCAGGCATGGTGGTTCACACCTATAATCCCAGCACTTTGGGAGGCTGAGGTGGGAGGAGTGCACAAGGCGAGGAGTTTGAGACTAGCCTTTGCAACATAGCTAGACTCCATTTCTACAAAAAATTTTTAAAACAAACAGGGTGTGGTAGCATGCATCTGTAGTCCCAGCTACCTGGGAGGCAGAGGCAGGAGAATCGCTTGAGCTCAGGAGTATAGGTTGCAATGAGCTATGATTGTGCCACTGTACTGTGGCCTGGGTGACAGAGTAAAACTTTGTCTCTAAAAAACAGAAATATCCCTCTTTATCCTTGATAGTATTTTTTAGGCCTTTATTAGTTTTTTCATGTTACATCTTTTAGATTATTTTCTTTTTAATCTATCTGTGACTATATTTAAAGTCAATTCTTGTTTTTTCCTTTTCCTTTTTGTGGGTAACGGGGTCTCACTATGTTGCCCAGGCAGATCTCAAACTCCTGGGCTCAAGCTGTCCTCCCACCTCTGCCACCCTAAGTGTTGAGATTACAGGCATGAGCCACTGCACCCAGCCTTAAAGTGAATTGTTATAGGCAACAACACAGTGGGGTCTTTTATTTTATTTTTTATTTGTTTATGAGACAGACTCGCTCTGTTGCCTACGCTGGAGTGCAGTGGTGCAGTCTTGACTCACTGCAGCCTGGACTTCCCAGGCTCAAGCAATCCTCCCACCTCAGACTCCTGAGTAGCTGGGACTACAGGCACATGCCACCAAGCCTGGCTAAGTTTGTTAGTTTTTTATAGAGACAAGGTCTCACTATGTTGCCCAGTCTGATCTCGAACACCTAGCCACAAGCAATTCTCCTGCCTTGTCTTCCCAGAGTGCTGGGATTACAGGTGTGGACCACTGAACCCAGCAGGTCTTGCTTTTTTTTTGAGATGGAGGTGTGAGCCACCACATCCAGCCAGGTTTTCTCTTTTTTTTTTTTTTTTGAGACGGAGTCTTGCTCTGTCGCCCAGGCTGGAGTGCAGTGGCACGATCTTGGCTCACTGCAAGCTCCGCCTCCTGGGTTCACACCATTCTCCTGCCTCAGCCTCGCGAGTAGCTGGGACTACAGGCACCCCGCCACCACACCTGGCTAATTTTTTGTATTTTTAGTAGAGACGGGGTTTCACCGTGTTAGCCAGGATGGTCTCGATCTCCTGACCTCATGATCCACCTGCCTTGGCCTCCCAAAGTGCTGGGATTACAGGCGTAAGCCACCACGCCTGGCCAGGTCTTGCTTTTTAAGAGTCTGACAATAACTGCTTTCTAATTGGAATGTTTAGAACGTTTAAATTTAATGCAATTATGAATATGGTTGGATTTAAACCTATTTTACCATTTGCTTTCTATTTATTTCATCACTTCTTTGTTTCTTTTTCTTTTCCTGACTTCCTAGGGTTTAGGGTTTTTTTTTTTTTCTTTTTTCTACCCCCTCCTTGAGTATTTTTTTTTGTACTCCATTTTATTTCTGTCAGCTTATTAGCTATTAATCCTTATTTTACCTTTTTACTACTTGCTCTAGAGTTTACCATATGCCTATTTAACATATCATAGTAATCTTCAAAAATATTATAACAGCTGGGTGCAGTGGCTCATGCCTGTAATCCCGGTAATTTGGGAGGCTGAGGCAGGCAGATCACTTGAGGTCAAGAGTTCCAGAGCAACCTGGGCAACATGGTGAAACCCCGTCTCTACTAAAAATACAAAAAAATTAGCTGGGTGTGGTGGCGCACACCTGTAATCCCAGCTGCTTGGGAGGCTGAGGCACGAGAATTGCTTGAACCCAGGAAGCAGACGCTGCAGAAAGCTGAGATCGTGCCACTGCACTCCAGCCTGGGTGACACAGTGAGACTCTGGGTCAAAAAAATATATAACACTTGACATAAAATGTATGAACCATACAATAGTATATTTCCATTTCTCCCCTCTCATCCTTTGTGCTATTGTCATACATTTTATTTCCATGTACTTTAATAAATCTTACAATATAATGTTATATCTTTGCTTTAAACAATTTAAGTACATTTTTACAACGGCAAAAGTCTTTCATATTTGCCCTCTTAGTTATCTTATCATTCCTGGTACTTTTCATTCCTTTGAGTAGAACCAAATTTCCATCTGCTATCATTTTCCTTTTAAATGATGTGCTTCCTTTCACTTTTTTTTTTTTTTTTTTTTTTTTTTTTTGAGATGGAGTCTTGCTCTGTCTCCTAGGCTGGAGTTCAGCGCCACGATCTCGGCTGACTGCAACCTCTGCCTCCCGGGTTCAAGTGATTCTCCTGCCTCAACCTCCTGAGTAGCTAGGATTACAGGTGCCCACCACCATGCCAGGCTAATTTTTGTATTTTTAGTAGAGATAGAGTTTCACCATGTTGGCCAGGCTGGTCTTGAACTCCTGACCTCATGATCTGCCTGCCTCAGCCTCCCAAAGTGCTGGGATTACAGGGGTGAACCACTGTGCCTGGTCCCTTTCACATTTTTTGTAGTGCAGTTATGCTGGCAACTGACTTTATTTGGCATTTGTTTGTATGAATAAGTTTATATTTTACCTTCCTTCATAGTTCTTTTCCTTGATGGGCCTATTAAAATATTTTTTTTCTTTTGTAAGCCACTTCACCCCTTCCCTATGGGTTTGTTTTTATTTACCTCTACATGGCTGACTTTGGACAGAAACGTTAAAAGTTCTACTTGTTGTTTTCCTGAAGCTATGCTTCTATTTCTGGACTCATCGCCAAGTCACCTGAAGGCAATACAAATGAAGTATCTGGGCCACATGCAGTGGCTCACGCCTGTAATCCCAGCACTTTGGGAAACTGAGGTGGGAGGATACCTTGAGCCCAGAAAAAAAAAAAATTAGCCTGGCATGGTGGCACGTGCCTGTAGTCCCAGTTACTTGGGAGGCTGAGGTGGGAGGATCACTTGAGCCTGGGAGTTGGAGGCTACATTGATCCTTGGTCGTGTCACTACCCTCAAGCCTGGACAAAAGAGTGAGACCTTGTCTCAAAAAAAAAAAAAAAAAAAAAAAGTGTCCCTTTGCTTTACTCCTGCTCTCCAGTGATTCTACAGCATGGAATAGGCCACTGACTTACTCACATGTATAGTTCTCATCTGTCCATTTTAATAATTGCAACTAGAGCTCTTTTTGAACTTTCTCTCTTGTTCTTCAAGCATACATCAAACCTGAGTTTAGAGGGTATTTGCGTCCTAGTTTCACGAGATTGGCAAGTAGTTTTTAGAGAGTATGTTTGTGGCCATTCTTTTCTTTTGATACTGACGGAGGGTTTCTTTTTTAATTTTTTGTTTGTTTAAGACAGGGTCTTACTCTGTCACCCAGGCTGGAGTGCAGTGATGCAATCACGGCTCACTGTAGCCCCAACCTCCTGGCCTCAAGTGATCTTCTTGCCTCAGCACCCCCAAGTAGCTGGGACTATACATGCATGCCACCCTGCTAGCTAATTTTTAGAGGAGGTCTCTCTATGTTGCACAGGTTGGTCTGGTCTTGAACTTCTGGCCTCAAGTGAAACTCCTACTTTGGCTTCCCAAAGTGCTGGGATTACAGGCATGAGCCATTGCACCTGGCAATGGAGTGGTTTGTGGTTGGTTAGTTTTTTGTTTGTTTGTTTGTTTGTTTTTGAGACAGAGTTTCACTCCTGTTGCCCAGGCTAGAGTGCAATGGTGCGATCTCGGCTTACTTCAACTTCTGCCTCTTGGGTTCAAGCAATTCTCCTGCCTCAGCCTCCCAAGTCGCTGGGATTACAGGCGTCCGCCACAACGCCCGGCTAATTTTTGTATTTTTAGTAGAGGTGAGGTTTCACCATGTTGGTCAGGTTGGTCTCAAACTCCTGACCTCAAGTGATCCACCCGCCTCAGCCTCCCGAACTGCTGGGATTACAGGCGTGAGCCACCATGCCTGGCCTTGTTTGTTTTTTGTTTTGTTTTGAGACAGAGTCTCACTCCATTGCCCAGACTAGAGTGCAGTGGCACAATCTCAGCTCACTGCAACCTCCGCCTCCCAGGTTCAAGCGATTCTTGTGCCCCAGCCTCCTAAGTAGCTAGGACTACAGGTGTGCGCCACCACTGCCTGGTTAATTTTGGAATTTTCTTTTTAATAGAGACAGGGTTTTGCCATGTTGGCCAGGCTGGTCTCAAACTTCTGGCCTCAAGTGATCTGCCCGCCTCGGCCTCCCAAAGTGCTGGGATTTTGGGTGTGAACCACCGCACTCACAGAGTTTTTTTCTTTTTTTAATAAATTTTTATTTGAAATTATTTAGATTTGCAGAAAGTGCAAAGTAATACAAAGAGTTCCTATATATTGCCATACCCAATTTACCCTAATGCTAACATCTTACACTAGCATATTTGTCAAAATCATCAGTGTACCAATTCATATACTGTACATTACTATTTACTAAAATCCAGAGTTTATTTGGATTTCACCAGTTTTTCCACTATGTTGTTTTTTGTTCCAGAATTCATAAATAGAGGGTTTTTTTTTTCCTATTTTTGATTCTTTAAGTTCATTTTTGTTGGTTGCATGGAGGAGTGTCATATACGCACTCATTCCACCAAATTCCCTTGATATCCTTTACCATTACTTTATAAACCATTTACATTTCTCTTGCAGAGAGCCACAACCTAAGTGCCTTACCTGATGACACTGACAGAGAGAATCACTGGAAATGATAGTTTTATACTTAATTCTTGTCACTAAAACTCTAATAGTGTTTTTAAAAACCTAATACAAGGCCAGGCCTGGCGGCTCACACCTATCATCCCAGCACTTTGGGATGCCTAGGGAGGAGAATTGCTCAAGGCCAGAAGTTTGAAACCAGAACAGCCTGGGCAACATAGTGAGACCCTGTCTCTGAAAAAACAAAACAAACAACAACAGCAACAACAACAACAAAAATACCTAACACAAATACTTAAATGCATACAACTATTTTTATAACTTTTAACTTTTACACTTAGTTGTCCATTTCTCCAAAATATGAAGTCCTCTGCGGAAGTGACTCCAGACCTTCAGAGCCGTGGTGAACTTTGTGAATTACTGGTAATGAACACCGTCATCTTGTCTGTTTTACCAGCACATGATCATATAATTGAAAACTGTTTTGAACAGGAATGTCTCATCATAAATAAGTTAATAAATTCTACAAACATCTACTAAACATCTGTTATGTTCTAGGTACAGATTGGGGAAATCACAATAAACCAGTCGGGCACAATACCTAGCTTCATGAAATGTATAGTCAATCTCTTCTACTTCAAGGCCCAGACTCTCTTAGACTTTGTTGATTAGCATCCAGGCTAAATGGATCCTCTCTGGATCTTCATGTGGAGGGCAATAAGGCTGGATTTGCTACTTGGCCTTTTTAGGGGTTGAGAAGATGTTACTTTAACAAAAGCAAGTGCCCAACAAAATCATAAACCCAGGTAATAGGCTGACCACTTTAAGCTGAGAAATCCTACCTAGTTCTCTGGGATCTAAGCCACTACTAATTTAATGCACACATATACCACCTTATTTTGAGGCTGTGTGTTAGGTATGTTATGTTTGTCATCCCCCCACCCCCAACACACACAAAAACCAACTTGCTATTCACGTGATTCATTTTCTATATGAATTGAAAAATGGCACTAAAGAAAAAAGTTTGGGGATATAGAAATAGCTTATTTTTTAAGGAAGAAACATAACCTTTCTAAGTACTGGATGTGTAATATTAAAAATGTAGTTAACCAAGGACAGAGGCTGCACCTAATGACTTTTGGAGGAACCTTCTTGCTCAAGACACTATGATTCTCGTTACCTGGATAGTATCACCCATGGATTGTATCATATATGAACCACTGAGGAACACACATTCCTGCAGATGTTTGCAGATTATTAATTGCTTTATATTTGGAGCACCCCTCCCTTCAATCAGCATAAATATTTGAGGGTGGGCTGTGTTTAGAAGATGTTTAGTCTCCAATGATTACAACATGATGCACCACTCTCCTATACAAATTTTGATTTAAGAAAAGATTTTATTTTTCAAAGGAAACCACAAGTGAAAGCAATCTTGAAGATTCAATAGCAGTTGGTCCTATAGTGCCAGGTAAGAACTTTGAAGTAGCACGTGGGATTATATGTATTTGTAAATATATTTGTATACAGGGCAGTTGCAAAAAAAAGAGTATTTATAATTGTCCAAAGAGCTTCCAAAGAGGAGCAGCATTGCAACAGTGTCGTGTATGAGCAAAAGTCAAGATTCTTGTGGCTTCTCCAGAGTGCAGGCAGGACCAAACTGATAGTAGGCAACGTGTCTCAGGTACAAGCAAACCAGTCCTTAGAAGCACCAATCAGTAAACTTCTTTCCTGAGATTTTTATTTTTATTCATTTTATTTTATTTTATTTTATTTGAGACAGGGTCTTACTTTGTCACCCAGGCTGGAATGCAATGGCAAGATCATGGCTCACTGCAGCGTCGACCTCCCAGGCTCAAGTGATCCTCCCATCTCAGCCTCCCCAGTAGCTGGGACCACAAGCATGTGCCACCACACCTGGCTAATTTTTTGTATTTTTTGTAGAGACAGGGTTTTGCCATGTTGGCCAGGCTGGTCTTGAACTCCTAGGCTCAAGCAATTCGCCTGCCTCGGTCTCCCACAGTGCTGGGATTACAGGCATGAGTCACTTTGCCTGGCCTCTTTCCTGAGATGCATGGTGCTTATGATAAGCACACATTATGTCTAGGTCCCTGCTTCAAGTGTGGCACTTTGGACACATGCTTCCCACATTCCGATTTTGTGCCAAAACCTATGAGATGATCGCAATGTGGGAATCATGGATGGCTGTGGAAAATCCTAACACATTCGTAGTAGACAGGCAGAATCATGGAATGAAAAGGCATGGCGTTCAGACTGAGGGAGATGTGACTATGAATCCCTGTTGTGCCCCCCTTTCTTTCTCTGCACAGAAATGGCACAGGGTGAAGCCCAGTGGTTTCAAGAGGCAAAGAATCTGAATGAGCAGCTGAGAGCAGCTTATACCAGCGCCAGTTTCCGCCACATGTCTTTGCTTGATATCTCTTCCGATCTGGCCACGGACCACTTGCTGGGCTGTGATCTGTCTATTGCTTCAAAACACATCAGCAAACCTGTGCAAGAACCTCTGGTGCTGCCTGAGGTCTTTGGCAACTTGAACTCTGTCATGTGTGTGGAGGGTGAAGCTGGAAGTGGAAAGACGGTCCTCCTGAAGAAAATAGCTTTTCTGTGGGCATCTGGATGCTGTCCCCTGTTAAACAGGTTCCAGCTGGTTTTCTACCTCTCCCTTAGTTCCACCAGACCAGACGAGGGGCTGGCCAGTATCATCTGTGACCAGCTCCTAGAGAAAGAAGGATCTGTTACTGAAATGTGCATGAGGAACATTATCCAGCAGTTAAAGAATCAGGTCTTATTCCTTTTAGATGACTACAAAGAAATATGTTCAATCCCTCAAGTCATAGGAAAACTGATTCAAAAAAACCACTTATCCCGGACCTGCCTATTGATTGCTGTCCGTACAAACAGGGCCAGGGACATCCGCCGATACCTAGAGACCATTCTAGAGATCAAAGCATTTCCCTTTTATAATACTGTCTGTATATTACGGAAGCTCTTTTCACATAATATGACTCGTCTGCGAAAGTTTATGGTTTACTTTGGAAAGAACCAAAGTTTGCAGAAGATACAGAAAACTCCTCTCTTTGTGGCGGCGATCTGTGCTCATTGGTTTCAGTATCCTTTTGACCCATCCTTTGATGATGTGGCTGTTTTCAAGTCCTATATGGAACGCCTTTCCTTAAGGAACAAAGCGACAGCTGAAATTCTCAAAGCAACTGTGTCCTCCTGTGGTGAGCTGGCCTTGAAAGGGTTTTTTTCATGTTGCTTTGAGTTTAATGATGATGATCTCGCAGAAGCAGGGGTTGATGAAGATGAAGATCTAACCATGTGCTTGATGAGCAAATTTACAGCCCAGAGACTAAGACCATTCTACCGGTTTTTAAGTCCTGCCTTCCAAGAATTTCTTGCGGGGATGAGGCTGATTGAACTCCTGGATTCAGATAGGCAGGAACATCAAGATTTGGGACTGTATCATTTGAAACAAATCAACTCACCCATGATGACTGTAAGCGCCTACAACAATTTTTTGAACTATGTCTCCAGCCTCCCTTCAACAAAAGCAGGGCCCAAAATTGTGTCTCATTTGCTCCATTTAGTGGATAACAAAGAGTCATTGGAGAATATATCTGAAAATGATGACTACTTAAAGCACCAGCCAGAAATTTCACTGCAGATGCAGTTACTTAGGGGATTGTGGCAAATTTGTCCACAAGCTTACTTTTCAATGGTTTCAGAACATTTACTGGTTCTTGCCCTGAAAACTGCTTATCAAAGCAACACTGTTGCTGCGTGTTCTCCATTTGTTTTGCAATTCCTTCAAGGGAGAACACTGACTTTGGGTGCGCTTAACTTACAGTACTTTTTCGACCACCCAGAAAGCTTGTCATTGTTGAGGAGCATCCACTTCCCAATACGAGGAAATAAGACATCACCCAGAGCACATTTTTCAGTTCTGGAAACATGTTTTGACAAATCACAGGTGCCAACTATAGATCAGGACTATGCTTCTGCCTTTGAACCTATGAATGAATGGGAGCGAAATTTAGCTGAAAAAGAGGATAATGTAAAGAGCTATATGGATATGCAGCGCAGGGCATCACCAGACCTTAGTACTGGCTATTGGAAACTTTCTCCAAAGCAGTACAAGATTCCCTGTCTAGAAGTCGATGTGAATGATATTGATGTTGTAGGCCAGGATATGCTTGAGATTCTAATGACAGTTTTCTCAGCTTCACAGCGCATCGAACTCCATTTAAACCACAGCAGAGGCTTTATAGAAAGCATCCGCCCAGCTCTTGAGCTGTCTAAGGCCTCTGTCACCAAGTGCTCCATAAGCAAGTTGGAACTCAGCGCAGCCGAACAGGAACTGCTTCTCACCCTGCCTTCCCTGGAATCTCTTGAAGTCTCAGGGACAATCCAGTCACAAGGTATACCTGTATATATTTTGGATGACTATTCTGATGTATAATTTCTTTTTCTTACTTTAAGTGGTTGAAAACTTCTGAGGCCATGAAAGCATGCATGCTCATTGATAGAACAGATATAAAATAAACCTTCACTAATTTTTTTTGACAGTAGCATGAATTAGTGAAAAGTCCTTGAATAATAGAATGGTTTTCAAATAACTCAGACAAAATGAATAAAATATTTATATTAAATTATTGAAGGTTCTTAATAAAGACATGAATTATCTGTTATTAGTAAAAGAATTAGCTATATGTAAGATGATGCTTAGAAATTACCTTCACCCTAGCTGCCTAAAGGAAGAAAGGCCTGTAGTCCCTGGGAAATAAATAAATTAATGGGAAATAATATCTTCATCTATTTGTGTCTTAACTCCTCTAAGCACTATTTGATAGTTTTCAGTGTAGACTTAACCCATCTTTCATTAAATTTATTCCTAGATACTCATATCTTTTGAAAGTATTGTAAATGTCATTAAAAATATTTTTTCATTTTCTAATTGTTGCTAGTATTGCTTTGGTCTTAAGCAGTTTGACTGTTATATGCCTAGGTGTGCTTTGCTTTGTATGTATCTTGCTTGAGGTGCACTGAACTTTTTTGGAATGTGTGGGTTGACATTTACCAAATTTAGAAAATTTTTCATCTTTTTTCAAGTACTGTTTTATTATGGTAAAATACATGTAACAAAGCTTACATTTTAATCATTTTAAGTGTACAACTCAGTGGCATTAAGCATTCACTATGTTGTACAACCATCACCACTATCCATCTCCAGAACCTTTTCATCATCCCAATTAAACAATAAATTGGGCCGGGCGCGGGGGCTCACGCCTGTAATCCCAGCACTTTGGGAGGCCGAAGAGGGTGGATCGCCAGAGCTCAGGAGTTTGAGACCACCCTGGGCAACATGGTGAAACCACATCTCTACTAAAATACAAAAAATTAGCTGGGCGTGGTGGCATGCGCCTGTAGTCCCAGCTATTCGGGAGGCTGAGGCATGAGAATCACTTAAGCCTGGGAGGCAGAGGTTGCAGTGAGCCCAGATCATGCCACTGCACTCCAGCTTGGGCTACCGAGTGAGACTCCGTCTCAAAAAAAAAAAAAAAAAAAAAAAAAAAAAAAATCTTCCCTCCCACCAGCCCCTGATAACTTCTCTTCTATTTTCTGTCTCTATGAATTTGCCTCTTCTAGATATTGTTTATAAGCATTATCACTTGTCTGGCTTATTTCACTTTGCATACTGTTCAAGGTACATCATGTTGTAGCCTATATTGGAATTTCATTCCTTCACATGTACTCCATAAATATGTACAATTATTATGTATCAACTTTGAAAAGGAACTTCATCCTTTTTATAGCTAATATTCCATGGTATGTATATAGTACATTTTGTTTATCCATTCTGCTGCTGAGAGACACTTGGGTTGTTTCTACCTTCTGGCTATCATAAATAATGCTGCAATGAACACTGGCATTATAAGTATCGGTTTAAGTTCTTGCTTTTAATCATTTTGGGTATATACCTAGAAGCAGAATTGCTGATTCATATGGTAGTTCTATGTTTAACTTTTTGAGGAACTTGCACAGTAGCTGCACCATCTTACATTCCCACTATCCATGTACAAAGGTTCCAATTACTCCACATCCTCTTCAGCACTTGTTAATTTTTGTTTTTGTGGAGACAGAGTCTAATTCTGTCACCCAGGCTGGAGTGCAGTGGCGAGATCTTGGCTCACTGCAACCTCCACCTCTCGGGTTCAAGCAATTCTCCTGTCTCAGCCTCCTGAGTAGCTGGGACTACAGGTGTGCACCACCATACCTGGCTAACTTTTGTATTTTTAGTAGAGATGGGGTTTCGCCATGTTGCCCAAGCCGGTCTCGAACTCCTGAGCTCAGGCAGTCCAGCCACCTTGGCCTCCCGAAGTGCTAGGATTACAGGCATGAGCCACAGTGCCCGACCTGTTTTTGTTTTCATTGTTGTTTTTCAGACAGTGTCTTGCTCTATTGCCCAAGCTGGAGTGCTGTGGTGCAATCATGGCTCACTGCAGCCTCAACCTCTTGAGCTCAGGTGATCCTCCTGCCTCAGCCTCCTGAGTAGCTGAGACTACCAGCATGCACCACCGTGCCTGGATAATTTTTTATTTTTTGTAGAGACAGATTCTTGCTATGTTGCCTAGTCTGGTCTTTTTTCTTTTTCTTTCTTTTTTTTTTTTGAGATGGAGCCTCGCTCTGTCCCCCAGGCTGGAGTGCAGTGGCGCAATCTCGGCTCACTGCAAGCTCTGCCTCCTGGGTTCACGCCATTCTCTTGCCTCAGCCTCCCAAGTAGCTGGGATTACAAGCTCCCGCCACCACACCCAGCTAATTTTTGTATTTTTAGTAGAGATGGGGTTTCACCATGTTGGCCAGGCTGGTCTTGAACTCCTGACCTCAGGTGATCCACCCACCTCGGCCTCCCAAAGTGCTGGGATTACAGGCATGAGCCACCGTGCCTGGCCCCTAGTCTGGTCTTGAACTCCTGGGCTCAAATGATCCACCCACCTTGGCCTTCCAAAGTGCTGGGATTACAGGTATGAGCCACCTCACCCAGCCCATTTTGTTTTGTGATTATCATAAAGCCATTCTAGTAGTTGTGAAGTGGTATCTCATTGTGGTTTTGATTTGCATTTCTCTAATGCAAATCATGAAAATGATGTTAAGTATCTTTTCACTTTTTGAAAAAATATGTTTGCTCATTTAAAAATTGTTGTTGTTTTTGTTGCATTGTAAGAGTTATTTGTATATTCTGGATTTCAACCTGTTATCAGATACACAGTTTGAAAATATTTTTCCCATTCCATAGGTTGTCATTTTACTTTATTTATAATGTCCTTTGTGCACGAAAGTTTTAAATTTTGACGAAGTCCAATTTATCTGTTTTTTTCTTTTATTGCTGGTCCTTTTGGTGTCCTATCTAAGAATCCATTGCCAAATCCAAGGTCATGAAGATTAACTCCTATGTTTTTTCTAAGAGTTGTGTGATTTCAGCTTTTATATTTAGGTCGTTGATCCATTTTGAGTTGATTTTTTTTACATGGTGAGGGATAGGAATCCAACTTCATTCTTTCGCATGTGCAAATCCAGTTGTCCCCAACCGTTTGTTGAAGAGATGCTATATTTCTTTTCTCTTCTTTTTTTTTTTTTTTTTGAGACGGAGTCTCACACTGTAGCCTGGGCTGGAGTGCAATGGCGCGATCTTGGCTCACTGCAACCTCCGTCTCCCAGGTTTATGTGATTCTCCTGCCTCAGCCTCCTGAGTAGCTGGGATTACAGATGCACACCACCATACCCAGCTAATTTTTTTTTTTGTATTTTTAGTAGAGACGGGGTTTCACTATGTTGGCCAGACTGGTCTCAAACTCCTGACCTCGTGATCCGCCCGCCTCAGCCTCCCAAAGTGCTGGGATTACAGGCATGAGCCACTGCGCCTAGCCGAGATGCTGTATTTCTTTTTGTGAGTCTGAAGAGTAGCACAGGGCTTCCCATACAGTGCATAAGCTGCAAAAAGCAATATCTTCATATATGTATTCTTTAAAAAAAAAAAAGAATGTTTTATGGTATGTGGAAGGTTTGCATGTGAAAATAGCTGGATGAATCAAAATGACAGTTTTAAAATGTCCATTCAGAACTCTTTAGATTAATAATGGGAAACTGTGCTGCTTTCCAGACCAAATCTTTCCTAATCTGGATAAGTTCCTGTGCCTGAAAGAACTGTCTGTGGATCTGGAGGGCAATATAAATGTTTTTTCAGTCATTCCTGAAGAATTTCCAAACTTCCACCATATGGAGAAATTATTGATCCAAATTTCAGCTGAGTATGATCCTTCCAAACTAGGTAAGGATGGCACTTTAATATACTTGTTTTTACGTAAGTTGGAAAAGCTACTTGGCCAATAATTTATTTAAGAGTTAAAGTGCCTGTGGTTCTAAGGGTGTAGCCTGTATCCATGGTAAATTGTGAGGAATAGCACTCTTTCTCATTAAGAAAGCAGAGTGCTGTTTGTAATTATTGAGCCTTTACTACACACTAGGAAGTATCCTAAGCACTTCACAAATATGAACTCAGTCTTCATACCCACTCTATGAAGTACTATTATTATTATTATTATTATTATTATTTTTTTTTTTTTTTTGAGACAGTCTCGCGCTGTCGCCCAGGCTGGAGTGCAGTGGCACGATCTCGGCTCACTGCAAGCTCCTCCTCTCAGGTTCACCATTCTCCTGCCTCAGCCTCCCAAGTAGCTGGGACTACAGGTGCCTGCCACCACGCCCAGCTAATTTTTTGTATTTTTAGTAGAGACGGCGTTTCACCGTGTTAGCCAGGATGGTCTCGATCTCCTGACCTCATGATCTTCCCGCCTCGGCCTCCCAAAGTGCTGGGATTACAGGCATGAGCCACCGTGCCTGGCCAAAGTAAAGTACTATTATTAATGCTATTTTGTAGCTGGGAAAACTGAGACATAAAGAGATAAAGTAATTCGTAATATCCAGCTAAGGAAATGTATATCTGTGACTCAAATACAGGAATTTTGACTCCAAAATCTGAGTTCTTAATCCCTAATATAGGCCGGGCCTGGTGACTCACACCTGTAATCCCAGCACTTTGGGAGGCCGAGAAGGGCAGATCACCTGAGGTCAGGAGTTCGAGACCAGCCTGACCAACATGGTGAAACCCTGCCTCTACTAAAAATGCAAAAATTTGCTGGCATGGTGGCATATGCCTGTAATCCCAGCTACTTGAGAGGCTGAAGCAGGAGAATTACCTGAACCTGGGAGGCAGAGATTGCAATGTGAGCCGAGATCGCGCCATTGTACTCCAGCCTGGGGAACAAGAGTAAAACTCCATGGGGAACAAGAGCAAAACTCCATGGGGAACAAGAGCAAAACTCCATCTCAGAAAAAAAAAAAAAAAAAGAAAGAAATCCCTAATATAATGTTGCCACTCCAAAATAATTTGTAGGGTTATTTTATTTTGTTTTTGGTTAGGCTGGTCTTACATTGCAACTTACAGATCTGGCAGCTCAGCAGGAAGGAAATCTGCTAATCCGTAGTCATTGGAAGTATTTCCCTGTTTCTCACCAGCCTATCCTAATAGTTCATGGAAAATGGTGCAGCCATCTTTCTTAAATACATCATTTAGCTAAATGACTTAGGCACCATCATTCCTTAACTTAGTAAACACTGAACACTAAAGATTGAAGAAATATACAACTCTATGGAATTGACATAAAGACTTGCATGCAAAAGCTTCATTGTTGGCCAGGCACAGTGACTCACACCTGTAATCTTAGCACTTTGGGTGGCCGAGGCGGGAGGATCGCCTGAGAGCAGGAGTTCAGCACCAGGCTGGGCAATATAGCAAGACATCGTCTCTACTAAAAAAATAAAAAATTAGCCAAGTATGATGGTGTGCACCTATAGTCCCCAGCTACTCAGGAGGCTGGTAGGATCACTTGAGTCCAGAAGTTCAAGCTTGCAATAAGCTATGATCATGCCACTGCACTCCAGCCTAGGTGATAGAGCAAGACCCTGTCTCAAAAAAAAAAAAAAAAAAAAAATATATATATATATGTGTGTGTGTGTGTGTGTGCATACATATATACACCGAAGCTGGAGGTGGTAGTTATATTTGTCAGCAAATTTTGCAACAAATTTAGGTTTTGCTTCAGAGTTGTCATTCCTTTTATGTTTCTTTTTTTTTTTTGAGACAGAGTCTCAATCTGTCACCCAGGCTGGAGTGCAGTGGCACCGTTGTCAGCTCACTGCAACCTCCGTCTCCTGGGTTCAAGCAATTCTCCTGCCTCAGCCTCCCAAGTAGCTGGGATTACAGGCGCCCATCACCATGCCCGGCTAATTTTTTAATATTTTTAGTAGAGACGGGGTTTCACCATGTTGGCCAGGCCAGTCTCAAACTCCTGACCTCAGGTGATCCGCCCACCTCAGCCTCCCAAAGTACTAGGATTACAGGCGTGAGCCACTATGCCCAGCTGTTTCTTTGTATAGTATTCTTTTTTTTTTTTTTTTTTTTTTTTTGGAGATGCAGTCTTGCTCTGTTGCCCAGGCTGGAGTTTGGTGGCGCAATATCCACTCACTGCAACCTCTGCCTCCTGGGTTCAAGCGATTCTCCTGCCTCGGCCTCCCGAGTAGCTGGGATTACAGCTGCCTGCCACCCACGCCTGGCAAATGTTTGTATTTTTAGTAGAGACAGGGTTTCACCATGTTGGCCAGGCTGGTCTCGAGCTCCTGAGCTCAGATGATCCACCTGCCTCGGCCTCCCAAAGTGCTGGGATTACAGGCATGAGCCACAGCACCTGGCCTCTTTGTATTCTTATTGTGTAAATGTCATGTACAAACTTAGAGTTATTAGGTGTTAAAGCTGAAGGTGATGCTACTGAGTCAATGCTTGTATTTTATAGAAGAGAAAACTGTTACCCAGAGAGGGTCAATAATGTGTCAAAATTCACATTACTTGCTAGTTGCAGAACCTGAACCCAAGCCCAGTGACCTGATTCTTAGATCATGAGATCGTGGTACCTGGTTTTAATTAAGTATTATTGAAACAAAATAATAAACTACTTGGCTAATTTTGATAGAAATTTGCAGTATTTTCTAATTTCTGAAAATCCTTGATCTTTTACAGTAAAATTAATTCAAAATTCTCCAAACCTTCATGTTTTCCATCTGAAGTGTAACTTCTTTTCGGATTTTGGGTCTCTCATGACTATGCTTGTTTCCTGTAAGAAACTCACAGAAATTAAGTTTTCGGATTCATTTTTTCAAGCCGTCCCATTTGGTAAGAGTTATAATATTACAATGGTGGTTTAAAATGTTTCTATGGACACAGAGTCATATTAAGCACTCTTTAAAAAGGGCCATATTTTGAGGCTGGGTGTGGTGGCTCATGCCTGTAATCCCAGCACTTTGGGAAGCTGAGGCAGGAGGCTTGCTTGAGGTCAGGGGTTTGAGACCAGTCTGGGCAACATAACAAGCCCTCCACCTCTAAAAAGCTTTAAAAAAATCAGTCGGGCACAGTGGTACCTATAGTCCCAGCTACTAGGGAAGCTAAGGCAGGAAGATTACTTGAGCCCAGAAGGTTGAAGCTGCAGCGAGCTGTGATGGTATCACTGCACTCCAGCCTGGGTGACACAGACCTTGTCTCTTTAAAAAAAGAAAGAAAGAAAAGAAAAATTGTTTCTCAAATAATAAAGTATAGGTGTTTCCAGAATTTTCTTTTTTACCTTTACGCTCAGTTGGATTTGAAATTTCTAGAATTTTAACAACATTTCTAGTTATCAGAATTATTTTCTGAGCAAAAATTTGTTTTATCTACTTAGTCATATGAATTCAATCTGAATTATTACATTAATTTCTAATTTCTTCATTTTAAAGATGTTACACTTTGCTGTGAGACATGTAGCTGACATAACTAAATTTTTATTTTCCCTTTCATAGTTGCCAGTTTGCCAAATTTTATTTCTCTGAAGATATTAAATCTTGAAGGCCAGCAATTTCCTGATGAGGAAACATCAGAAAAATTTGGTATGTTTACAAAATAGTGCTTTTTACGTATTCTTATTCTCTTTCTGCCCAGAATCCTTTTTCTCCTATTCTGAATTAGCCACAAGGAAGCAAGATATGCATTAGCTACCCTTGCTTACCAGAACGAAGTGATAGTCATGCTCAACTTCTACCCACCAAATGCCTTCACTACAGTTTTACCTGCAGACTTGATCTCATTCAAAGCAGAATGACTTCTTAGAGTACATATTTGGTCATTATAGCACTATGCAATATAATTGTCAGGTATCTGTTCCAAATATAAGACCTCATAGTTTCAAAGGTTACTAGAATATAGGTAAAAATCTATCTTTTAAGGTTAGGAAAACTCAATACGTGAAAACGTGTATTTCATAAAATGATAGCTATAGAATTTAAATACTTTTTGATTTTTAAAAAACGATTATGAAAGTAATGTATGCTCATGGAAAACATTCTAACAGGAAAAAAAAAAAATAAAGGGAGGCAGTGGAGATAGGGACTGTAGAGCTGTGCTATTCAAAGTGCTTCTCAAACATAAGCGTACATAAAGATTGCCAGGATCCTCCTCTTCCCTTCCTTGGAGGCAGCTAGGTGGGTGGGGGCTGAGGTGGCAGAGGTAGGATCAGGGCCAAGGGGATGGCTGGCATACATCATAGGTTGATTAAGCAAATAATACAGTGAGTATAGCCAGATGCAGTGGCTCACACCTGTAATCCCAGCACTTTGGGAGGCCGAGGTGGGTGGATCACCTGAGGTCAGGAGTTCAAGACCAGCCTGGCCAACATGGTGAAACCCCATCTCTACTAAAAAATACAAAAATTTGCTGGGCGTGGTGGCACATGCCTGTAGTCCCAGCTACTTGGGAGGCTGAGGCAGGAGAATCTCTCGAACCTCGGAGGCAGAGATTGCAGTGAGCCAAGATCAGGTCACTGTACTCCAGCCTGGGTGGCAGAGCAAGACTCTGTCTCAAAAACAAACAAACGAACAAAACAGTGAGTATAATGAGAGCCACGTTTCCTCACAGTTGGAAAAGGAACTTACAAATATTGAAAGGTGAGGCTAGAAAGAGCTTTGAGGTGTTGGATTAGAATTGGAAATATTGGTCTGGCCTCATGGTTTTTTCTAACCTATGAACATACATAGAGATCTCCATATATATACATTGATCTCCACATGTCTATAGATACACACATACATATTTCTCAGCTCAGTGGAGAGACTAGAAGGCACTGCAGTAATAATGAACACACCAAGTGCCTAGATACTGATTTCTAAATCCTGTCCTTCCGTAAAGGAACCAGGGTCCTTGCAAAATTGGCTGATTCAAGAACTGAGACAGGGAAAGAAAATGATAAGCCTGGGACATTGATTTATGCTAGAAATTATTCAATATATTTCCATGTGTGAGGCCTCAGAAGTTACCTTTCTAATGATCAAATGATCTATCGTGTGCCATGCTAGGAAGGAGTCGAAGTGAAAAGGAAGGTTCTAAGAGTGGTGGACTGTGAGGCTTTAGGGCCAGGAGGCCGGTGCAGAATCACTGAGCATGACAGCGGGAGGTGGAATGGGAAAGGAGGTGGCTGAAGGCATTGCAGAGCTGGGAAAGGAACCTGCAGGTCAGGAAAAGCTTCATTCTAAACGAGGAATGGAGATTTAATTGGCAGCCTGGACTTTAGTGCAGGAGAGATTGGTTGGTAGGGTGTGGTGGAGGAATTGTCTGGAGGAGCGAGGAAGACGGAAGCATGTGCTGGCCCTTCTCTTGCTTCCTGGACTGTGCATGATGTTTAGACCATACATGATTTTCAGATTACTGTTGCATAGGAACAAAAAGTACAAAGAGAATAGCTTTTTGGTCTTTTCTGACAGCCTACATTTTAGGTTCTCTTAGTAACCTGGAAGAATTGATCCTTCCTACTGGGGATGGAATTTATCGAGTGGCCAAACTGATCATCCAGCAGTGTCAGCAGCTTCATTGTCTCCGAGTCCTCTCATTTTTCAAGACTTTGAATGATGACAGCGTGGTGGAAATTGGTGAGCTAGTGTTTCAGCTTGCATGGAAGCCAGTGGTATAGCCAAGCTTTCTGCTGCAACATGTCTATGTAAACATTTGCCCCTCTAGAAATTTTCAACCCGCTTCCTCATTTTCACTATCATACTGTTCCTTCTAGTGTCCTTCTGTGGATTTAGGCGCATTCTGGTCAGATTTGGAAGTACAAAAAGGTCTCCCATTTGTGGATATACAAGCCCTCAAATCTGCGTTCTTGCCACCTGGTGTTTTAGACACCTGGCCACATACTCTCCTAAGTACTCCTTTTTAAAACTGAAGATGAATATACACACAGAAAAGTACAAAAATCATGTGTACTGCTCACTGAATTTTATTTTCTTATTTTCTTCTTTTTTTTTTTTTTGAGACAGAGTTTCGCTCGTGTTGCCCAGGCTGGAGTACAATGGCACGATCTCGGGTCACTGCAAACTCTGCCTCCTGGGTTCAAGCGATTCTCCTGCCTCAGCCTCCCAAGTAGCTAGGATTACAGGTGAACGCCACCACACCTGGCTAATTTTGTATTTTTAGTAAACACAGGGTTTCACCATGTTGGCCAGGCTAGTCTCGAACTCCTGACCTCAAGTGAGCCACAGTGCCTGGCCTGAGGAACTGAGATTTCTGTCGAGACCTGAAGGGAGAATGGCCCAGGCATAGTTGGTAGAGGAGGAATTGAGACATCATTTCAAACAGAGGTAATCACTTGTGTCATAGCCTGGAGTTAAAGAGAACCAGATATATTTGAAGAACTTGGGGGAAAAAAAGGAATGTCTGGAGCAAGAGGCAGGAGTGAGTTGTGAGAAGAAGACTGGAGAGGAAAGTAAAAGCCCAATTGGAGAGGCTTTGTCGGGTGTGTTACAAGGGCTGGATCTCATTTTCTTACTGCTCAGCACTGTTATTTTACGTTATTTAAAACAGCTGGGAGCGGTGGCTCAAGCTTGTAATCCCAGCACTTTGGGAGGCCGAGGCGGATGGATCACGAGGTCAGGAGATCGAGACCATCCTGGCTAACATGGTGAAACCCCGTCTCTACTAAAAATACAAAAAATTAGCCAGGCGTGATGGCGGGCACCTGTAGTCCCAGCTACTCGGGAGGCTGAGGCAGGAGAATGGTGTGAACCCGGGAGGTGGAGCTTGAAGTGAGCCAAGATCATGCCACTGCACTCCAGCCTGGGCAACAGAACGAGACTCCGTCTCAAAAAAAAAAACAAAAAACAAAAAACAATGACAACTTACAACGTTTTTCTTAAAGGCCTTGTTTCTTCCTCCTTATGAGGAAGAATTTAATAACATTAAATTTTGTGGTCTCTCTCATCCTCATTTACTATAAATTATTTGTGTTTTATTCTTCTCACTACATTAGGTCAAAGCCTTCCTTAGAACTTCAATCTCACACACAGATTTGAGCCAGTAACCCCTGTCGCTCTCCCTCCTGAGAGCAGGTGTTTTCTCTTCCCGGCGCCCAGCAGAGTATGCCTGGCCTATAGTGGGAACTCAGTAAATATTTGTTGACTGAATAAAGAAAACTTACTTTTCTGTAGCTTCTTCTGATGGACAGCTGAGAGGCCATTGTTTGCCTATAGTCAGTAATGCTTAAACTTTACCTGTAGGAGACAGCATTCAGACACATCACAGAACCGGCTAATCACACAATATGAAGTGGGAGTTATGCTGAAACAGGGGAAAGAAGGGAATGGATGTGAAAGACCTGAGTCTTTCTTCAAGTCCCTCCAGAAGTGTCTTTCATGTGGGGGAATGAGAAATATCTCTTGAATGTTACTGAAGATACCTATTCAGGACATAGCTGAAGACATTTTCTCAGTACCTCTGTTGTTTAACCTCAGTCAAGCTACAGCCATGGATTCTAGATTGAAACCAAACTTAACCTTTGCCCAAGTTAGAAAAAAAAAGAGGTTTAGCAATTAAAAACAAGGCTGGGCATGGTGGCTCATGCCTGTAATCCCAACACGTTGGGAGGCCAAGATAGAAGGACTGCTTGAGGCCAGGAGTTTGAGACAAGATTGGGCAACATAGCAAGACCTTGTCTCCATAAAAAATTGAAAAATTAGCCAAGCACGGTGGCTAGTCCTGAGTAGCTAGGACTCAGGAGGCTGAGGCGGGAGGATTGCTTGAGCCCAGAAATTCTAGGCTGCAGTGAGTTATAACTGAACCATTGCACTCCAGCCTAGGCAACCAAGTGACACCCTGTCTCAAAAAAAAAAATTTTTTTTTTTTTAAAAACCCCTAAACCAAACAACAAGAACTCTGCTTGGTACCCATTCCAAAGTCTAGTCAGCCTGTGTTCATTGAGAACACAGGGTGTGCCCGGCTTCCATTTCCTTCAGAGCCCTTAGTCTCAAAAACAGGAGGGTCCCTTCTGGGCAACAGAAATAGGGCATAGCAGTGGACAGTCGGATGACATGGCTTTAGGAATGTCACACCCCCTTCTCTATAAAAGGGGAAGACATAATTGCTACACTCTTTGAAGTCCCTTGTAATTTAGTCTGGATTTTTTTTTTTTTGTTTTCTCTTTTTGTTTTTTAGACGGAGTCTTGCTCTGTCACCCAGGCTGGAGTGCAGTGGTGGGATTTTGGCTCACTGCAACCTCTACCTCCCAGGTTCAAGCTGATTCTCCTGCCTCAGCCTCCCGAGTAGCTGGGATTACAGGCATGTACCACCATATCCGGCTGATTCTTGTATTTTTAGTAGAGATGGGGTTTCACCATGTTGGCCAGCCTGGTCTCGAACTCCTGACTTCAAGTGATCTACCCACCTCGGCCTCCCAAAATGCTGGGATTACAAGCGTGAGCCACTGTGACTTGCCAATTTAGTCTGGTTTGTAGGCATGATGTACCTTGGCATGTGACCTCCTGTGAGACCAAAAGAGAAGCTCATATTTGTCCAGGATGGTGAAACTCTCAGCACAATGGCGTCAGTGCTTTAGGCTTGGCTGTACTTCTTTGGTTTCTGCTTCTCCCTTAGATTTTTGCCAGGTGGTTCTTTATTAACCCATCAGCTCTTTGGGGTTTTTAAGGAGATATTTTCAAAATATTATATTAAGCTGGGCACAGTGACACGTGCTTGTAATCCCACCTACTTGGGAAGCTGAGGCAGGAGGATCACTTGAGTCCACGAGTTTGAGACCAGCCTGTGATGGCCAGGCGCGGTGGCTCACGCCTGTAATCCCAGCACTTTGGGAGGCCAAGGCGGGTGGATCACAAGGTCAGGAGATCGAGACCATCCTGGCTAACACAGTGAAACCCCGTCTCTACTAAAAATACAAAAAATTAGCTGGGCATGGTGGCGGGCGCCTGTAGTCCCAGCTACTCGGGAGGCTGAGGCAGGAGAATGGCATGAACCTGGGAGGCGGAGGTTGCAGTGAGCTGAGATCATGCCACTGCACTGCAGCCTGGGTAACAGAGCGAGACTCCATCTCAAAAAAAAAAAAAAAAAAAAAAAAAAAAGAAAGAAAGAAAAAGAGACCAGCCTGTGTTAACATAGCAAGACCCCATTTCAAAAAACAAAATTATATTGAGTACTTCCTACTAGCAGTAGTGGTGGGAGAGGAGGCTGGTTCAAATAACCTTGTCTACCATTATTGAAATGGAAGTCCTTATGATTCTATTTTCATGAATGTTTTGTTCTTGTAGCCAAAGTAGCAATCAGTGGAGGTTTCCAGAAACTTGAGAACCTAAAGCTTTCAATCAATCACAAGATTACAGAGGAAGGATACAGAAATTTCTTTCAAGCACTGGACAACATGCCAAACTTGCAGGAGTTGGACATCTCCAGGCATTTCACAGAGTGTATCAAAGCTCAGGCCACAACAGTCAAGTCTTTGAGTCAATGTGTGTTACGACTACCAAGGCTCATTAGACTGAACATGTTAAGTTGGCTCTTGGATGCAGATGATATTGCATTGCTTAATGTCATGAAAGAAAGACATCCTCAATCTAAGTACTTAACTATTCTCCAGAAATGGATACTGCCGTTCTCTCCAATCATTCAGAAATAAAAGATTCAGCTAAAAACTGCTGAATCAATAATTTGTCTTGGGGCATATTGAGGATGTAAAAAAAGTTGTTGATTAATGCTAAAAACCAAATTATCCAAAATTATTTTATTAAATATTGCATACAAAAGAAAATGTGTAAGGCTTGCTAAAAAACAAAACAAAACAAAACACAGTCCTGCATACTCACCACCAAGCTCAAGAAATAAATCATCACCAATACCTTTGAGGTCCCTGAGTAATCCACCCCAGCTAAAGGCAAACCCTTCAATCAAGTTTATACAGCAAACCCTCCATTGTCCATGGTCAACAGGGAAGGGGTTGGGGACAGGTCTGCCAATCTATCTAAAAGCCACAATATGGAAGAAGTATTCAATTTATATAATAAATGGCTAACTTAACGGTTGAATCACTTTCATACATGGATGAAACGGGTTTAACACAGGATCCACATGAATCTTCTGTGGGCCAAGAGATGTTCCTTAATCCTTGTAGAACCTGTTTTCTATATTGAACTAGCTTTGGTACAGTAGAGTTAACTTACTTTCCATTTATCCACTGCCAATATAAAGAGGAAACAGGGGTTAGGGAAAAATGACTTCATTCCAGAGGCTTCTCAGAGTTCAACATATGCTATAATTTAGAATTTTCTTATGAATCCACTCTACTTGGGTAGAAAATATTTTATCTCTAGTGATTGCATATTATTTCCATATCATAGTATTTCATAGTATTATATTTGATATGAGTGTCTATATCAATGTCAGTGTCCAGAATTTCGTTCCTACCAGTTAAGTAGTTTTCTGAACGGCCAGAAGACCATTCGAAATTCATGATACTACTATAAGTTGGTAAACAACCATACTTTTATCCTCATTTTTATTCTCACTAAGAAAAAAGTCAACTCCCCTCCCCTTGCCCAAGTATGAAATATAGGGACAGTATGTATGGTGTGGTCTCATTTGTTTAGAAAACCACTTATGACTGGGTGCGGTGGCTCACACCTGTAATCCCAGCACTTTGGGAGGCTGAGGCGGGCGAATCATTTGAGGTGAGGAATTCGAGACCAGCCTGGCCAGCATGGTGAAACCCCATCTCTACTAAAAATACAAAAATTAGCCAGGTGTGGTGGCACATGCCTGTAGTCCCAGCCACTAGGGCGGCTGAGACGCAAGACTTGCTTGAACCCGGGAGGCAGAGGTTGCAGTGAGCCAAGATGGCGCCACTGCATTCCAGCCTGGGCAACAGAGCAAGACCCTGTCTGTCTCAAAACAAAAAACAAAACCACTTATATTGCTAGCTACATTAAGAATTTCTGAATATGTTACTGAGCTTGCTTGTGGTAACCATTTATAATATCAGAAAGTATATGTACACCAAAACATGTTGAACATCCATGTTGTACAACTGAAATATAAATAATTTTGTCAATTATACCTAAATAAAACTGGAAAAAAATTTCTGGAAGTTTATATCTAAAAATGTTAATAGTGCGTACCTCTAGGAAGTGGGCCTGGAAGCCATTCTTACTTTTCAGTCTCTCCCATTCTGTACTGTTTTTTGTTTTACTTTCGTGCCTGCATTATTTTTCTATTTAAAACAAAAATAAATCTAGTTTAGCACTAAAATATTAACTGGAGCTACCTCTGGAGGGCAAGAGTACTAGAAGGTGGGATGGATTGTCTTCTTGCTTGTCTGATTTTATATGTAATACCTTTGTAATTAGAAAGGTTGTTAAGCATTATATCAGAATCCAGTCAGGAGACAGAAACCACACAGAAATTTGAATGGGGAAAGTTTAATATACAGATGCTCGGCCTGACGCAGTGGCTCACGCCTGTAATTCCAGCACTTTGGGAGGCCGAGGTGGGCAGATCACTTGAGGTCAGGAGTTCGAGACCAGCCTGGCCAACATGGTGAAATCCTGTCTCTACTAAAAATACAAAAAAAAATTAAAAAAAAAAAAAAAAAGCCAGGCATGGTGGTGTGCACCTGTAGTCTCAGCTACTTGGGAGGCTGAGGCAGGAGAATTGCTTGAACCCAGGAGGCAGAGGTTGCAGTGAGCCAAGATCGTGCCACTGCACTCCAGCCTGGGTGACAGAGCAAGACTCCATTTCAAATAAATAAATAAATAAATAAAATAAGATGCTCCTCAACTTACAACAGGGTTATATCCTGAAAAACCCATTGTAAGTAGAAAATATTGTATGTCAGAAATGCATTTAATATACCTAAACTACCAAACATCATCGCTTAACCTGACCTACCTTAAACACGCTGAGAACACTTATATTAGCTTACAGTTGGGCAAAATCATAAACACAAAGCCTATTTTATAATAAAGTATTGAAAATCTCACGCAATTTATTGAATACTGTACAGAAAGTGAAAAATAGAGGTCGTATGAGTACTTGAGGAACAGTTTCTACTGAATGCGGATCACTTTTGCACCATTGCAAAGTAGAAAAATCCTAAGTCAAGTCATCATGAGTTGGGGACTGTCCGTAAGAGTTATTAACAGAGGACTGGAATGGGGATTGGGTAGTAAGGAATAAAGAGAAGCCTGGGCAGATGCAGGGAACAGCCGATATGGGCTTTTCACCCCAGGCTGAGACAGAACAACTCAAAGAAGAAAGCTCAGGGCTGAGATCCGGGCTGAGATCCAGACTTCGTGTGAGAGGACACAGCTGTGAAAGACAGAGGTTTGCTGAGGCTGTGGAGTTGCAGCTGGAGAAGGTGCTGGGCTTGGGGCACTTTGCAGAGAAGGGACCTTGTGCATGTCAAGGGAAGCCATTCATGTGGGGGTACTGTGCGCTGCTGACCATTGGGTGCTGCTGAAGTTAGGCACCGCCCAAGAAGTGTGCAGCCAGAACGAGGTGCTGCAGAGGCAGAGTGTATGTGCTACAGGAGCTGGTATTGCAGATGGCACAGGTGTTGCAGGTGTCTGCCTAGAGGAGCACAATGGAACCAGGAAAAGCAGCCCTTGCCCCTTCAGTGTGTCAGCAGCACCCTCGATTGACAAAGTTTCACTCTGTGCTTACTGTCATGGGAGAGGTATTTACAGGGCCCAGATCTATTATTACAGAACAGACAATGAAGACTGAATGTGGATATAAGAGGCAACAACTAGCATAACTCATTAAATCTAATAGTGCACACATAAACACAAAATAACCTAGTAATTTCTTAATATTGACTGACAGGATATATGCACGTGATGTATTTATAAATTCATGGAAAACTTATATAAAAAACAGGCAACCATAATTGAGTTTAGGGAGGAGAACAGGATGGCTGGTGGACAGAAAAGGGAGAGAGGGAAGTTTGCTTTTTTTCTCCTGCATACCCTTTTATACCAGTTGAGTTTTGTCCCATGTGTGCATACTATTAAAAAACCATGATACTTGACCAGGTGCAGTGGCTCACGCTGGTAATCCCAGCACTTTGGGAGGCCGAGGCGGGTGGATCACCTGAGGTTGGGAGTTCGAGACCAGCCTGACCAACATGGAGAAACCTTGTCTCTACTAAAAATACAAAATTAGCCACGCATGGTGGTGCCTTCCTGTAATCCCAGCTACTCGGGAGGCTGAGGCAGGAGAATTGCTTGAACCCAGGAGGCGGAGGTTGCAGTGAGCCAAGAACGCGCTATTGCACTCTAGCCTGGGCAACAAGAGCAAAATTCTGCCTCAAAAAAAAAAAAAAAAAAAAAAAATCATAAGATTCCATGCAAATTATTTTTCCAGAGCTGCTTCTAACAGCGTTTAGTTCAAGCAGCGGTCAGTAAAGTATGGCCCTGGACTGTCCAGCCCTCAAGCTAAGAATGGTTTTCACATTTTTTAAAGCAACAGAGACTCAGTGGCCTACAAAGCTAAAATATTTACTGTGTTCTTTTACAGAAAACAAACTATTTCTATGACAAAATACTTTTGAATCATAAGCTCATCATGCCCTTTATTCTAGTTTACATCAGTCTTCATAGGACTCCCAAGTCATCCCTCATTGACCTAAAAACTGTCCTCATGGTTGTAAGCCCTCCCTCCCTTCCTCCATCCATCTCTCCCTCTCTCTTTTTCTCCTTCCCTCTCTCCCTTCCTTCCTTTTCTTTCATAAAGAAAAGAGGTTTAGTTGACTCACGGTTCTGCAGGCTTTACAGGAAGCATGGTGCTGGCATCTGCTCGGCTTTTAGGGAGGCCTCAGGAAACTAAAATCATGGCAGAAGGTGAGCACACATGTCACATGATGAAAGCAGAAACAAGTGAGAGACAGTGCGGGGGCAGGGGGCAGGTTTCATACACTTTTAAATGACCAGATCTCACGAGAACTCAGTAGCAACACAAAGGTAACACCAAGCCATGAGGGATCTGCCCCCATGATCCAAACACCTCCCACCATGCCCCATCTCCAACACTCGGGATAAAATTCAACATAAGTAGAGATAAATATCCAAACCACATCATTCCACCTCTGGCCCCTCCCAAATCTTATGTCCTTTTCACAATGCAAAATACAACCATGCCTTCCCAACAGTGCCGCAAAGTCTTAACTCATTCCAGCATTAACTCAGGAATCCAAAGTCTCATCTGAGACAAGGCAAATCCCTGCCACCTATGAGCCTATAAAATAAAAAACAAATTATTTACTTCCAACATACAATCAGGGTTCAGGGATTGGGGAAATATTCCCATTAGGGAAAAACCTGCCAAAAAAGGGGGCTATAGGCCCCATGCAAGTTCAAAACCCAGCATGGCAGTCATTAAATCATGAAACTCCACAATGATCTCCTTGGTTTCCATGTGGCACGCTGATATGAGGGTTGGGCTCCCAAGGCCTTGGGCAGCTCTGCTCCTATAGCTTTGCAGAGTTCAGCCTGCTGTCACAGGCTGGGTTGAGTGTCTGTGGCTTTTCCAAGTGCAGGGTACAAGCTGCCAGTGGCTCTACCATTCTGGAGAACAGTAGCCCTCTTCTCACAGCTCCACTAGGCAGTGCCCCAGTAGGGACTCTGCGTGGGGCCTTTAACCCCACATTTCCCCTCCACGCTGCCCTAGTAGAGGCTCTCTGTGAGGGCTCTGCTCCTGCAGCAGGGTTCTGCTTGGACACCCAGGCTTTTCCATACATCCTCTGAAATCCAGGCAGAGGCTACCAAGAATTCACCATTTTTGCATTCTGTGTGCCTGCAGGCTTACCACCTAATGGAAGCTGTGAAGGCTATGGCTTATGCCCTCCAAAGTAACAGCCCAAGCTGTACCTAGGCCCCTTTGAGCCCCTGCTGGAGTTGGAGCCATCTGGATGCAGGGAGCAGTGTTCTGAGGCTGCACAGGGCAACAGGGCCCTGGGCTCAGCCCAGGAAAATATTCAGTCTTCCTTGGCTTCAGGGCCTATGACAGGAGGGGCTGCCCCATAGGTCTCTGAAATGCCTTTGAGGCCTTTTCCCCATTGTCTTGGATATTACCACTTGGATCCCTTTCAGTTATGCAAATATCAGCAAGTGGTTGCTCCACAGCCTGCTTGAATTCCTTGGAGAAAATGGTTTTTTTTTTTACCACCTGGCTAGGCTGCAAAATTTCCCAACTTTTAGGCTCTGCTTCCTGTTTAAATGTAAGTTCCAAATTTAAGTCATTCATTTGCCCCCACATCTGAGCACAGGCTGTTAGTAGCAGAAGGCCACATCTTGAATGCTTTGCTGCTTAGAAATTTCTTCTGCCACATACGCTAGGTCATAGTTTTTAAGTTCAAACTTCCACAGATCCCTAGGACACAAGCAGAATGCAGCCAAGTTATTTGCTAAGGCATAACGTGTGACTTTTGCTCCAGTTCCCAATAAATTCGTTTCCTTTTGAGACCTTGTCAACCTGGACTTCACTGTCCCTATCACCATCAGCATTTTGGTCACAACCACTTATCTAGTCTCTAAGAAGTTCCAAACTTGCCGGGAGCAGTGGCTCACGCCTGTAAACCTAGCACTTTGGGAGGTCGAGGTGGGTGAATCACTTGAGGTCAGGAGTTCGAGACCAGCCTGGCCAACATGGTGAAACCCCATCCTTACTAAAAATACAAAAATATTAGCCAGGCATGGTGGTGCATGCCTGTAACCCCAGCTGCTTGGGAAGCTGAGGCAGAAAATCACTTGAACCCGGGAGGCAGAGGTTGCAGTGAGCCAAGATCACGCCACTGCACTCCAGCCTGGGCGACAGAGCAAGACTCCGTCTCAAAAAAAAAAAAAAAAAAAAGTTTGAAACTTACCCTCATTTTCCTGTCTTCTTCTGAGCCCTGTAAACTCTTCCAACCACTACTCATTACCCAGTTCCAAAGCTGTTTCCACATTTTCAGGTATCTTTATAGCAATGCCCAACTTCTCGGTACCAATTTTCTGTATTGGGGCATTCTTGCACTGCTATAAAGAAATACCTCAAACTGGGTAATTTACAAAGAGGTTTAATTGGCTCATGGTTCTGCAGGCTTTACAGGAAGCATGGTGCTGGCATCTGCTTGGCTTCTAGGGAGACCTCAGGAAGCTTACAGTCATGGTGGAAGGTGAAGGGGTAGCAGACACATCACATGGTAAAAGCAGGGGCAAGTGAGAGAGCTAAACTCCCGCTTTCTGATCACATATCCCAACCTGCTCCAACTCCCTAAATCCTTCCACTGTGTCTACATGGTAGAATCTCCTACATCCACAACTTCTTATGTCAACTTTCCTTCTATTTCTTGATCTAACTCCTCATTCTCAAGCTTTTTTTTTAACCATGACCCACAATAATAAATTTTACATCAAAACACCATACGCACATACATACACACACATATTATATGTGTATACACAACTGAAGTCCCACAAAAACAAACCTTACTAAAATAAAACTATATCAGATATGATTTTATTAATAGCCAAATAAACAAAAATTCAGAAATACAAAGTTCCGTGAAAGAGTTGTTTACATGCACTGTCAACTGTTCTCTCATTCTTATGTTCTCTCCCTCCAGGATTTTACCTCCTCCATTCCACCAACACAGCTCTTATGAGGGTCACCAATGAGCTCCACATTGCTAAATTGGTGAATACTTCTCAGTCCTCACTTTAGTTGACCCATTAGCAGCATGTGACCTATTGGCTTTCACATGGCCCATCACCCCTCTTCCTCAAAACACTGCCTTCATTTGGCTTCCAGGGCATCCCTCTTGATTTTCCTAACTCAATGAGAGCTCCTCCTTAGTCTCCTGCACTGTTTTTCCTCATATCCTATCTCTAACCACTGAGAGAACCCCAAAGTTCTCCTCTGACATCTTCTCTATTTGAATGCACTTCCTCAGCTATCTCCTCTAGTTCAACAGCTTTAAATTTACTAACTTCTACATTTCCATCTCTAGCCCAGACCTCTCCTCTGAACTATTTTTTTATTTTATAATATAGACGGGGTCTCACTTTGTTGCCCAGTCTGGTCTTGAACTCCTGGGCTCACATGATTCTCCTGCCTTGGCCTCCCAAAGTGCTGAGATTACAGGCATGAGGCATTGCACCTGGCCTGGACTCTTTATTCACATCCAACTTCTACTAATGGGCATCTCAATTTTCACATGTTCAAAACCCAATTTCTTTCCTGCCACAAAAGTACTCCTTATGCAGACCTCCATCTCATTAAATTCTAACTTTATTTTTCCAGTTGCATAAGCCAAAAATCTCGGAGTTACACTTGACACTCCTCTTTCATACACCACATGTAATCAATCTACTGAAAAATCCTGGTGGCTCCACTTGGAAAATATACTCAGATCCAACCACCACTACCCACACTGGCTCTAACTAGTCAGCCTGTTTCCTCCCTTCAAACCTATGGTGTATTTTCAACACAGCAATCAGAAGTCTCTTTCTGTAAGTCAGATCATGCTATACCTTGGGTTCAAAACCTTTCCATGGACTCCCAGCTTAAAAAAGTAAATGCTGAAGACCTTACTATCGCTGACATATGGCCTGGCCCTTGACTACCTCTCTTAGCTCCATCTCCTTAATCTCTCCTCCTTACTTCCACTCCAGCCACGATTAACTCCTTGTTGTTCCCCAAACATGTTAAATACACTTGTGTCTTAGGGCCTTTCTATTTGTTATCTCCCTTGCCTGGGATACTCTCCCTCTAGTTGTACCTAGAACAGTTGAATCATCGCATAATTGCTAAAAGGACAAGTGACCATGTGACAACGTTCTTTCATCTTTTATGCTTGTAACACCAGAATTTACTTGAAAAAGTTTGTAAGTGGACAAGTATGAAAGACAGATATGTACACAAAGTAACAGGAAGGTAAAGATGATGTGAAAAATGAAAACCAATCCACTGAAAGTCATTCTAATTGGTATTTATAAATGTAAAAACAAAAATGTTTTGCTGTTATGTAACAAAGAATATAGCCATCATCTATCACTTCAACAAAACTATGAGCCCTAAAGTTTTCAGAAGTATTGCAGTTTGGACAGGTGTGGTGGCTCATGCCTACCGTCCCCAGCACTTTGGAAGGCAGGAAGATCACTTGAGGCCAGGTGTTCAAGGCCAGCCTGGGCAACACAGTGAGACCCTATTTCTACAAAAAATAAAAATAAATTAAAAAACAAAAAGTATTGCATTTTGACAAAGTGAGTTCATGAAGAATACAAATAATAAGGTAGAACATAGTAGAGATGCATTTGAAATCCAAAATCCGTATTTAAAGGTAGGTATGTTCCAGATTCATGCATAATGACAGCTGCTTTCAAAGGATGTAATGCCTTTTAGGTATACATAAACATTCAAAACTGGGAAAATATGGGAAAAAATGTGGGTCTCCTATATTTGGATTCTCATTAAAATTGCTAACAAAGTTAATTTTCACCATCCCTTTATTCTTCTGTAAATTGTTTATAAAATGACTTGAAAAAGAATGCAGTCAATTCTCATTACTTGAGGTAGTTATGTTCTATGAAGTTGCCACAAACACGCAAATTAGTGAATACTGAGCCATTGCTCCTAACAGAAATACAGGGTTAGGTTCTTGTAAGCCTTTGGTCACATTTTCACCAACTTATAAATACGTAAGCTTGTTTTATATCTGTTTCTGTTTAAAGACACATTATTTAATAAATATAGACCTGGCATGGTGGCTCATATCTGTAATCCCAGCACTCTGGGATGCCAAGGTGGGTGGATCACTTGAGGTCAGGAGTTCAAGACTGGCCTACCCAACATGGTAAAACCCCACCTCTACTAAAAATACAAAAATTACGCTGGGTGCAGTGGCGGGTGCCTATAATCCCAGCTACTGGGAAGACTGAGGCAGGAGAATCGTTTGAACCCGGGAGGAGGAGGTTGCAGTGAGCCGAGATTATGCCATTGCACTCCAGCCTGGGTGACAGAGTGAGACTCCATCTCAAAAAATATAATAATAAATAGTGATGACTCATCATCATCTAACTCCCACTCAACAGCACTATAACTCATGACTAAACAAAGGTTATCTAACACATGTATTCTCTAAGGCACCTCACAGCCCGCATGCACCTTGGAATACCACTATATAGCACTTCAGCACAATGCTTGGGAATCACTTTAAACAGTAAAATCACAAACAGAAGGCACAAAAATGTGAAAAATGTAGAACTATATAAACTGCTTTCAAAAAGGACACTTGTTTATAGTAAGAAAGCTACACAAAAAACTGAGCACTGTTCAACCCCAGCTGGGAATATCTGGGTAAGGTTCTCAAATTTTTCACCTCTGTGTATGTCCATGAAAAACCATGAAACTGCCATGAGTATTGATGTTAGGTTACAAATAAATTTTAGCAAGTAGGTGCCTTTACAAATACAGATTCTACAAATAAAGAGAATTGACTGTAAATAAAATTTTATAAGCAAAAACTCTGAAAATAAAAACAAATAGTTAAAATGGTAATGGGAAGACCATATAAACAACAGAAAATTAAAAGTTCTTAAACACATGAAAAGGTGCTGAACTTCACAATAAGATAAAAATGTACAAATATGAGATAATCATTTTTAACTATTCAATTGACAAAGATTCAAAGGTTTGATAAATTATTGGCTATTTTGCAGGAAACAAACTCTCCATGTTGGTATAAATATAGATTAATATAACCTCTACTGAAAACAATTTAGCAAACTTTTGTTTAAAATTTAAATGTAGGTCGGGCACGGTGGCTCATGCCTGTAATCCCAGCACTTTGGGAGGCCAAGGCGAGCAGATCACAAGGTCAGGAGTTCAAGATCAGCCTGGCCAACATGGTGAAACCCCGTCTCTACTAAAAAAATACAAAAATTAGCCGGGCATGGTGGCGTGTGCCTGTAATCCTAGCTACTCAGGAGGCTGAGGCAGGAGCACTGCTTGAACCTGGGAGGCGGAGGTTGCGGTGAGCTGAGATCACGCCATTGCACTCCAGCCTGGGCAACAGAGCAAGACTCCGTATCAAAAAAAAAAAAAAAACAATTTAAATGCAATAGCCTCTTCAACACAGTAGTTCTAATTCTAGATACTTAATCCTAAAGATGCTGACTGTACTATTAAATAACAAATGATTAGAAACAAATTAAACTCTCATCCACAAGAGCTCAATTCATTAAGCGTGGTACACATCTGTAAGAATATCCTGTAAGTGCTTAAAAGAATGAGAGCTTTTTTTTAAATTTTTAATTTTTGCATTTTTCTTATTTTATTTTATTATTATACTTTAAGTTTTAGGGTACATGTGCACAATGTGCAGGTTAGTTACATATGTATACATGTGCCATGCTGGTGTGCTGCACCAATTAACTCCTCATTTAGCATTAGGTATATCTCCTAATGCTATCCCTCCCCACTCCCCCCACCCCACAACAGTCCCAAGAGTGTGATGTTCCCCTTCCTGTGTCCATGTGTTCTCATTGTTCAATTCCCACCTATGAGTGAGAACATGCGGTGTTTGGTTTTTTGTCCTTGCGATAGTTTACTGAGAATGATGATTTCCAATTTCATCCATGTCCCTACAAAGGACATGAACTCATCATTTCTTATGGTTGCATAGTATTCCATGGTGTATATGTGCCATATTTTCTTAATCCAGTCTATCATTGTTGGACGTTTGGGTTGGTTCCAAGTCTTTGCTATTGTGAATAGTGCCGCAATAAACATACGTGTGCATGTGTCTTCATAGCAGCATGATTTATAGTCCTTTGGGTATATACCCAGTAATGGGATGGCTGGGTCAAATGGTATTTCTAGTTCTAGATCCCTGAGGAATCGCCACACTGACTTCCACAGTGGTTGAAGCAGTTTACAGAACTCTCCACCCCACATCAACAGAATATACATTTTTTTCAGCACCACACCACACCTATTCCAAAATTGACCACATAGTTGGAAGTAAAGCTCTCCTCAGCAAACGTAAAAGAACAGAAATTATAACAAACTGTCTCTCAGACCACAGTGCAATCAAACTAGAACTCAGGAATAAGAAACTCACTCAAAACCACTCAACTACATGGAAACTGAACAACCTGCTCCTGAATGACTACTGGGTACATAACGAAATGAAGGCAGAAATAAAGATGTTCTTTGAAACCAACGAGAACAAAGACACAACATACCAGAATTTCTGGGACACATTCAAAGCAGTGTGTAGAGGGAAATTTATAGCACTAAATGCCCACAAGAGAAAGCAGGAAAGATCCAAAATTGACACCCTAACATCACAATTAAAAGAACTAGAAAAGCAAGAGCAAACACATTCAAAAGCTAGCAGAAGGCAAGAAATAACTAAAATCAGAGCAGAGCTGAAGGAAATAGAGACACAAAAAACCCTTCAAAAAATTAATCCAGGAGCTGGTTTTTGGAAAGGATCAACAAAATTGATAGACCGCTAGCAAGACTAATAAAGAAGAAAAGAGAGAAGAATCAAATAGACGCAATAAAAAATGATAAAGGGGATATCACCACCGATCCCACAGAAATACAAACTACCATCAGAGAATACTATAAACACTTCTACGCAAATAAACTAGAAAATCTAGAAGAAATGGATAAATTCCTCGACACATACACCCTCCCAAGACTAAACCAGGAAGAAGTTGAATCTCTAAATGGACCAATAACAGGCTCTGAAATTGTGGCAATAATCAATAGCTTACCAACCAAAAAGAGTCCACGACCAGATGGATTCACAGCCGAATTCTACCAGAGGTACAAGGAGGAACTGGTACCATTCCTTCTGAAATTATTCCAATCAATAGAAAAAGAGGGAATCCTCCCTAACTCATTTTATGAGGCCAGCATCATCCTGATACCAAAGCCAGGCAGAGACACAACCAAAAAAGAGAATTTTAGACTAATATCCTTGATGAACATTGATGCAAAAATCATCAATAAAATACTGGCAAACCGAATCCAGCAGCACATCAAAAAGCTTATCCAGCATGATCAAGTGGGCTTCATCCCTGGGATGCAAGGCTGGTTCAACATACGCAAATCAATAAATGTAATCCAGCATATAAACAGAACCAAAGACAAAAACCACATGATTATCTCAATAGATGCAGAAAAGGCCTTTGACAAAATTCAACAATCCCTCATGCTAAAAACTCTCAATAAATGAGGTACTGATGGGACGTATCTCAAAATAATAAGAGCTATCTATGACAAACCCACAGCCAATATCATACTGAATGGGCAAAAACTGGAAGCATTCCCTTTGAAAACACGCACAAGACAGGGATGCCCTCTCTCACCACTCCTATTCAACATAGTGTTGGAAGTTCTGGCCAGGGCAATTAGGCAGGAGAAAGAAATAACGGGTATTCAATTAGGAAAAGAGGAAGCCAAATTGTCCCTGTTTGCAGATTACATGATTGTATATCTAGAAAACCCCATTGTCTCAGCCCAAAATCTCCTTAAGCTGATAAGCAACTTCAGCAAAGTCTCAGGATACAAAATCAATGTACAAAAATCACAAGCATTCTTATACACCACCCACAGACAAACAGAGAGCCAAATCATGAGTGAACTCCCATTCACAATTGCTTCAAAGAGAATAAAATACCTAGGAATCCAACTTACAAGGGATGTGAAGGACCTCTTCAAGGAGAACTACAAACCACTGCTCAATGAAATAAAAGAGGATACAAACAAATGGAAGAACATTCCATGCTCATGGGTAGGAAGAATCAATATCGTGAAAATGGCCATACTGCCCAAGGTAATTTACAGATTCAATGCCATCCCCATCAAGCTACCAATGACTTTCTTCACAGAATTGGAAAAAACTACTTTAAAGTTCATATGGAACCAAAAAAGAGCCCGCATCGCCAAGTCAATCCTAAGCCAAAAGAACAAAGCTGGAGGCATCACGCTACCTGACTTCAAACTATACTACAAGGCTACAGTAACCAAAACAGCATGGTACTGGTACCAAAACAGAGATATAGACCAATGGAACAGAACAGAGCCCTCAGAAATAACGCCGCATATCTACAACTATCTGATCTTTGACAAACCTGAGAAAAACAAGCAATGGGGAAAGGATTCCCTATTTAATAAATGGTGCTGGGAAACTGGCTAGCCATATGTAGAAAGCTGAAACTGGATCCCTTCCTTACACCTTATACAAAAATTAATTCAAGATGGATTAAAGACTTAAATGTTAGACCTAAAACCATAAAAACCCTAGAAGAAAACCTAGGCATTACCATTCAGGACATAGGCATGGGCAAGGACTTCATGTCTAAAACACCAAAAGCAACGGCAACAAAAGCCAAAACTGGGATCTAATTAAACTAAAGAGCTTCTGCACAGCAAAAGAAACTACCATCAGAGTGAACAGGCAACCTACAAAATGGGAGAAAATTTTTGCAATCTACTCATCTGACAAAGGGCTAATATCCAGAATCTACAATGAACTCAAACAAATTTACAAGAAAAAAACAGACAACCCCATCAAAAAGTGGGCGAAGGACATGAACAGACACTTCTCAAAAGAAGACATTTATGCAGCTAAAAAACACATGAAAAAATGCTCACCATCACTGGCCATCAGAGAAATGCAAATCAAAACCACAATAAGATACCATCTCACACCAGTTAGAATGGCAATCATTAAAAAGTCAGGAAACAACGGGTGCTGGAGAGGATGTGGAGAAATAGGAAGAATGAGAGTTTTAAATACTGATATGGTGTGTTCTCCAAGATATATTGACAGAAAAGCACTTATCTATTGAAGAACATTATATGAATTACCTCTAAAGATAAAAAATTTTAAAAGTTCAAAAAGGGTAATGATGATATATCATGACAGAACTTAATTACTTTTTTTCTTTTTGAGACAGTCACTGAGTCACCCAGGCTGGAGTGTAGTGGCACGATCTTGGCTCACTGCAACCTCCGCCTCCTGGGTTCAAGTGATTCTCATGCTTCAGCCTCTCCAGTAGCTGGGATCACAGGCGCCCACCACCATGCCGAGCTAATTTTTTTTTTGTATTTTTAGTAGAGATGGGGTTTCACCATGTTGGGCCAGGCTGGTCTCGAACTACCGACCTCAGGTGATCCACCCACCTCAGCCTCTCAAAGTGCTAGGATTACAGGTATGAGCCACCATGCCTGGCCTTAATTACATGTTTTTTAAAAATTCACAATAAATGTATACACAAACATTTTAAAAAACACAAAAGGGTACACTGTGAAAAGTGTACAGAAGGGCTGGGCATGGTGATTCATGCCTGTAATCCTAGCACTTTGGGAGCCCGAGGTGGGAGAATGGCTTGAACCCAGGAACTCGAGACCAGCTTGGGCAACATAGATCATGTCACTACCAAAAAAAAAAAAAAGTGTACAGAAGCAGAGTTGCTCTTGTTTTTTGTTTGTTGCTTTGGTTTGGTTTTTTTTTTTGAGACAGGGTCTCAGTCTGTTGCCCAGGCTGAAGTGCAATGGTGTGAACACGGCTCATTACACAGCCTCAACCTCCTGTACTCAAGTGATCCTTTTGCCTCAGCCTCTCCAGTAGCTGGGACTACAGGCATGCACCACCATGCCTTGCTAATTCTTTCATGTTTTGTAGAGTCAGGGGTTTTGCGTTGTTGCTTATGCTGGTCTTGAACTCCTGGGCTCAAGTGATCCGCCTGTCTCGTCCTCCCAAAATGCTGGGATTACAGGTGTAAGCCACCGTGCCTGGCCCAGAGTTGCTCTTAGTAACGTGTTTTTTTTTTTTTTTTTTTGAGACGGAGTCTCGCTTTTTAGCCCAGGCTTGAGTACAGCGGCACAATCTCGGCTCACCACAACCTCCACCTCCCGGGTTCAAGCAATTCTCCTGCCTCAGCCTCCCAAGTAGCTGGGACTACAGGGCGTGCCACCATGCCGGGCTAATTTTTGTATTTTTAGTAGAGACAGGGTTTTACTATGTTGGCCAGGCTGGTCTGGAACTCCTGATCTCAGGTGATCCACCCGCCTCGGCCTCCCAAAGTGCTGGGATTACAGGTGTGAGCTGCCGCGCCCAGCTGCTCTTAGTAACTTCTGGAATTTGATGTCTAAATTGAATCCATTATTTCAAACATCACAAGACTTAAGTTCATAAAAACTTTTTTAAAAAGTTAACTCTGGGTCAGGCGTAGTGGCTCAAGCTTGTAATCCCAGCACTTTGGGAGGCCGAGGCAGGTGGATTACCTGGGGTCAGGAGTTCCAGACCAGCCTGGCCAACGTGGCGAAACCACGTCTCTACTACTAAAAATACAAAAATTAGCCAGGCATAGTGGCACATGCCTGTAGTCCCAGCTGCTCGGGAGGCTGAGGCAGGAGAATTGCTTGAACCTGGGAGGCAGAGGTTGCAGTGAGCTGAAATTGCGCCACTGCACTCCAGCTTGGGTGAGAGTTAGACTGTATCAAAAACAAAAAGAAATTAACTGTGTAGTTTATTTCTGTTAATGGCAACCCTGCAGAAAAGTTAAACTTAGAATATGTCTCAAAGTAATCTCTGTCTGATCCCTTAATGAAGGATCTCTTCAAACACAGCAACTTTTGTCTGTCTTCTGAACGTAGGTACAGCTGTGGCTGTAGAACAGACCATGTAATTTTCATCTAGATTCCTTACAACCACAAGGACAATTATTACAATGAAAGCCAGAGAACTAGCTCAGTTTTGATTTTATTACTAGGATAAATCCAGCCAGGTAGTGTGGTGGCTTTGATGTTTTCTGTCTATATCTAAGGGGGAAGCTGCTTCATTATTCGATATTAAGATAAATAGGGCCTAAAAATAGTCCTAGGTCAAACACCATTATGATTAACTCAACTTTCAAAACCATTTACCTAATGTAGGATTTGTTAATAAGTCTTCTTCAAAATTAGCAAGAAATACAACTAATGCCTAACCCGTCATGATGAATTAAAGACTGATCCAAAAATAACTGACAGTTCTCTTCCAGTTGCCCTCTTCTTTGACAATCCCACCAGTCTATGCTCTAAGCTCACGCTTGACTTCCAAAAACTGCCAGATATTGTAGACACCATGAAGAATAAGATGTACTACCTTTTCTCTAATGAAAGAGGAAATACAGATATAAACAATATATAAACATAATATAATGTGAAAAGCTATGTATAGAAATAAATAGAGAGGCCGTGTGCGGTGGCTCACGGCTGTAATCCCAGCACTTTGGGAGGCCAGGGTGGTCGAATCACTTGAGGGCAGGAGTTTGAGACCAGCCTGGCCAACATGGTGAAACTCCATCTCTACTAAAAATACAAAACTTAGTGGGGCATGGTGCCACATGCCTGTAATCCCAACTACTCACGTGGGTGAGGCACGAGAACCGCTTGAACCCGGATAGCAGAGGTTGCAGTGAGCTGAGATTGCACCACTGCACTCCAGCGTGGGCAGCAGAGCGAGACTCTGTCTCAAAAACAAACAAAAATAAGAATATGTAAAGACATGAAAAATGTGACATTAAGTGGGAATACACATGCACATACACAAAATGCTATGGTGGCATCCATATCAAAATATGGGCCAAAGGGCAAAATAATATGCAAAAAAGAAATACAATCACAGATACAGCTAATTTAAAAAAAAATTAAATATTTTTATTATATACTTTTAAACATATAGAAGATAGAAAAAAACAGTACAATGAACAGCCATGTCCACCAGTTAGATTCTGTAACATTTTGCCACATACGCCTCACATACATTTTGTTAAACCATTTGAAACATTTTAAGACACTCTAACACTTCATTCCTAAATGCTTAAGTATGCAAATTAAGACAGTCTTTTATAAACTACAACACCCTTCTCACAGCTCATAAAATTACCAATAATTATCCAATATCATTCAAAATCTAATCCACATTCAAATTTTCTCAACTGCCTCACCACCGTGCTGGCCTCCCACCCCCACCTCAGTCTTTTACAGATGGTTTTTCAAAATAGAGTCCAGTAAAATATTTCACATTGCATTTGGTTATTACATAACTTTTAATCAAGAAGAGTTACCCATTCCACTTCCTTTTTTCTTTCCCAACACTTGATATTTTGAAGAAATGAGGCCAGTTATCTTCTATAACGCTTCACATTCCAGATCTGTCTGATCGTTTCTTTAGTGGTGTCATTTAGTGCTGCTCTATGCCAGCATTTCCTGCAAATGAGAAATTAGAACCAGAGGCTTGACGAATTCCAGTTAAACCATGTCCTCTGTGGACACCAGTTAAACTTGACTAGAGCACTTCATATGTCAGAGTGTACAGTGCAGTATGCCTAGGTTATCCCATATCACAATAAAAAAAAGTCTGCTGGTCTGCCTACTAGTGATATAAAATGGCATCATATCCTAAAGCTCTTTATTGTGAAAGTATGTTTCTTCCACACAACCAACCAGTTAAGTATGAGAATTCTAGTAGGGATGTAGATTAACCTTTTATCTAATAGTTTTGGCATCAAAATTCTTTAATATTGATTGTTTTACATTAACCTTTCAACTTTCTAACATCTGAACTTTTTAAATGTTCAAAAACATTTGTTTTCCACAAACCATAAAGTTTTACAAAAGTAAGATTCACTTTCATAATGCTGGCAGACTTACTCCTTAATTTAAGGAATGTGAGCACCTTCCTTCTTTTTGATTTTGTCTAAAACCCTGTAAGGAAAATAAAGGAAGTTAAAAAAAATAGCTATATAGATATAGATAGCTATATATAGATAGCTTTATATGGATGTTAAAAAGCATTTTGTTTCACAAGACATTTTACTTATTTTATTCAACAAAATATGATCAGAAATTAAGTTGATAGTCTTTTAATGTACTTTAAAAGTTATCCCAAAGAAAACAATTATTAGGCTGCAGTTAAGGTTTTCTTGCAGTGGCTCATGCCTACAATCCCACAACTTTGGGAGGCGGAGGTAGGGGGATCACTTGAGACCTGGAGCTTGACACCACCCTGGGCAACATAATGAGACCCTGTCTCTACAAAAAATTTAAAAATTAGGCCGGCGTGGTGGCTCATGCTAGGCACAGTGGCTCACGCCTGTAATCCCAGCACTTTGGGAGGCCGAGACAGTTGGATCACCTGAGCTCAGGAGTTCGAGAACAGCCTGGCCAACATGGCAAAACCCCGTTTCTACTGAAAGTACAAAAAATTAGCCAGGCATGGTGGTGGGGACCTCTAATCCCAGCTACTTGGGAGGTTGAGGCAGGAGAATCACTTGAACCCAGGAGGCGGAGGCTGCAGTGAGCTGAGATTTACACCACTGCACTCCAGCCTGGGTGACAGAGCAAGACTCTGTCTCAAAAAAAAATAAATAAATAAAAATAAAAATTAGCCAGGTGCAGTGGCATTATCACTGTAGTCCCAGCTACTCGGGAAACTGAGGTGAGAGGACTGCTTGAGCCCTGGAGGTCAAGGCTGCAGTGAGCTGTGAATGTGCCCTTGCACTCCAGCCTGAGCAATAGAGTGAGACCTGGTCTCTAAAAAATAAAATTTAAATGTAAAAAATTTAAAAACATTGCCGGTCACAGTGGCTCATGCCTGTAATGCCTTGCCTTGCACTTTTGGAGGCCAAGGCGGGCGGATCACCTGAGGTCGGATTTGGAGAACAGCCTGACCAACATGGAGAAATCCCGACTCTACTAAAAATACAAGACTAGGCCGGGCACAGTGGCTCACGCCTATAATCCCAGCACTTGGGGAGGCTGAGGCGGGTGGATCAAAAGGTCAGGAGATCGAGACCATCCTGGCTAACACAGTGAAACCCCATCTCTACTAAAAACACAAAAAAATTAGCCGGGTGTGGTGGCGGGCACCTGTAGTCCCAGCTACTCGGGAGGCTGAGGCAAGAGAATGGTGTGAACCTGGGAGGCAGAGCTTGCAGTGAGCCAAGATCGCGCCGCTGCACTCCAGCTTGGGGGACAGAGCAAGACACCCTCTCAAAAAAAAAAAACAAAAAACAAAACAAAACACAAAACTGGCTGGGCGTGGTGGCATATGGCTGTAATCACAGCTACTCGGGAAGCTGAGGCAGGAGAATCACTTGAACCCAGGAGGCGGAGGTTGCAGTGAGCCGAGATTGCACCATTGCACCCCAGCCTGGGTGACAGGGCAAAACTCCATCTTAAAAAATAAATAAACTAATTAATTTAAAAAAATATTTTTCTTCCTTTTTTTTTTGAGACGGAGTTTCGCTCTTGTTGCCCAGGCTGGAGTGCAATGGTGCAATCTTGGCTCACCGCAACCTCCGCCTTCTCGGTTCAAGCAATTCTCCTGCCTCAGCCTCCCAAGTAGCTGGGATTACAGGCATGCGCCACCATGCCCGGCTAGTTTTGTATTTTTAGTAGAGACAGGGTTTCTCCATGTTGGTCAGGCTGATCTGGAACTCCCGACTTCAGGTGATTCGCCTGCCTTGGCCTCCCAAACTGTTGGGATTACCGGCGTGAGCCACTGCGCCCAGCTGATTTTTCTTCTTTCAGTATGTCCAATGATGTTCCTGAGCCCGCTTATACC
>NT_187650.1:300000-378547 GCF_000001405.40 Homo sapiens | reverse complement strand
TTCCCGAGTTGAGCTGCGAACAGCGGCCAAGCGTGTTTTAAATCGAGCTTCCGTGTGGCGAGCTATGACCTGCTGGTTACTCTTATTTTTTTTCTCCATTCGTTGAGCTATGATTGACAAATTGAAAAGTGTGTATTTTTAGGGTGTACAATAGAGTGTTTTGAGATGTCAGTGGTCTTTAAATCACCTCAGTTAAGCTAGTTAGCCTGTCTATCCCCTCACATAGTGAATACGCCTCTGTGTGTGGTGAGAGCACCTGAGATCTACTCTTGCAGCAAATTTCAAGTACACAGTATTGTTAACTATAGTCACTATTCTGTACGTTAGGTCCCCAGCAGTTACTCACCTTGTAACTGAAGGTGCGCCCCTTCCATGGAAATCTTCCCACTTTCCCCACTTCCTAGCCCATGGGAACCAGCGTTCTACTGTTTCCATGGCTTTTTTAAATTTTTATTTACTTTTTTAGATTTTACATACAAACGAGATCATGCAGTAGTTGTCTTTCTGTATTCAGCTTATTTCACTTAGCATAATGTCTTCAAGATTTATCAATATTGTTGTGGATGAAAGAGTTTCATTTTTATTAAAGCTGAAATTATGTCTCTCAGTTTATCTGTATCAGAGGAATGCAGATACCCTTGATGATCCTGATTTTATGTCCTTTGGCTATATACTCCTAATTGGGATTAATGGTAGTTCTAGTTTAACAATTTTAAGGAACCTCCATACTGTTTTTCATAATAGCTGCACCAATTGACATCCTCAGCAACAGTGCACAAGTGTTCTCTTTTTCCACACCCTAACACTTTTTATCTTTTGACTTTTTGATAATAGGTATCCAAACACCACGATAAGGTGATACCTCATTGTGATTTTAATTACTGTGATAATTAGTGATGTTGAGCATTTTTTATATACCTGCTGGCCATTTGTATATCTTTGGAAAAATTGCTATTTATATATTTTGCCCAATTATTAATCAAGAAATTGCTTTTAATTCTGCTGTGGGTTTTTTGTATTGATTACTATGACATATATTTTGGATAGTAACATATTATCCTACATATGGTTTACAAATATTTTCTCCCATTCCATATAATGCCTTTATATTTTGCTGATTGTTTCCTTTATTGTGCAGAAAATTTTTACTTTGACATAGTTCCACTTGTTTATTTTTGCTTTTGTTGACTGCGCTCCTGGTGTCAAATCCGAAACATCATTGCCATGACCAGTGTCAAGGAGGCTTTTCCCCATTTTTTTTTTTAGAGGATTCATGATTTCAGTTCTTATGTTTAAGTCTTTATTTCATTTCAAATTCATTTTGTGATGACATGAGAGAAAGGTTTACTTTTTGTCTGTGCATATCGAGTTTTTCCTACACCACTCCTTGATGTGTTTATCCTTTCTCCATTCTGTGGGATTGGTCGAATGTATATTTGTGAGTTTATTTCTGGGTCCTCTATTCTGTTCTATTGGTTTTTATGTAGGTACTATACTGTATTAATGACTACAGCTTTGTAATATAGTTTGAAATCAGGAAGTGTGAGGCTTTCAGCCTTTTTGTTCTTCTCAGTATTTGGCTATTTGAGGTCTTTTGTGGTTCCATACTAATTTTAAAATTGTCGTTCTACATTTTAATAAAATGGCATTAAAATTTTGATAAAAATTTAACTCTGTAGATCACTTTGTGTAGTATGGATATTTTAACAATATTAATTTTTAGAATCCATGAACACATATTTCCCATTTTGTATTCTTCATTTTCTTTCCTCAACATTTTATAGTTTTCAGTATGCAGATCTTTCATATTCTTTGTTAACTCATTCCTAAGTATTTCATTCTATTTGATAATATTGTAAATGGAACTATCTTTATTCCTGTTTCAGATATTTTGTTGTTACTGTAAAAAAAATGCAACTGATGTTCATATGTTAATATTGTATCCTGAGAATTTACTGACTTAGTTGGTTAGTTATAACAGGTTTTTTTTTTTCTGGTAAAATGGTGGTTATTCTGAATTCTGGTTAAACTTTAAATTGATAATTGCTATTATCATTTCAAAATTATTTAAAATATGACCAGATGGATTCCTGCTTTCATGAATTCAATGGAATTCAAATCTTCCCATTTAAAATAATTTTGTCTGGTTGACCTAGACCCCGGGGATCGGGGGCACCCCGTGGGAGCCCGGAGATTCGCCTGGGGGTGGGAGGGAGAAGCCGTCAGAGAGGGGGCTGAGCTGGGGAAGCAGAGAGGGGCTCGGGGACAGCCGGGAGGAGAGAGGGTCGTGTCGGAGACCCAGTGGGGAGAGAGAATGGGCCGGAAAAGGAGGAAGGGTGAGAGTGGGCAACAGGACGGCTTCCCGGCGCGGCAGGGAACTTTGCTGAAACTGCGGGCCCCAGGGACCAGCGCGGGCAGGGTGGGAGGGAGTGGAGAGGACCCAGCAGACCCGAAGGTCAGTGTGGAGAAAGGGACGTTTCCCGGTTCCTTCGTCTCTGCCCAGCGTTCTGCGGGCGTGGCCCCCTCCAGGGGCAGGGGAGGAGGTGGCTCCCGGCGGGCTCGGAGAACTAAGGGGCGCACACCCGCTTCGCAGGGCCGGGGTGACAGGGGAAGCCTGAGACGGCTGCGGATCTCGCTGGCCCCGTGGGTGGGCGCGGGGGACGCGGGAGGGGCCGAGCTCACGGGGCCAGCGCCGGGGCCTGCAGGTGGCCCTGGAGGAATCTGCAAGCACCCGCCCGTGCAGCGGGCCTTCCGGGAGACCAGTGTGGACAGCGCCCTGGACACGCCCTTCCCAGCTGGAACATCTGTGAGGCTGGAATTTAAGCTCCGGCAGACAGGGAAGCGGCTGGAGGAAGGCCTGGAAGAAACCCAAGTGCAAAGCCCAGCCCGAGAGGAGGAAGCAGAAATGCCTGACCTGCGTCAAAATGGACTGTGAGGATAAGGTTCTGGGCAGGATGGTTCGCTGCCCTCCAGAGACGCAGACTCGGCGGGAGCCTGAGGAGCACCAGGGGGCCGGGTGCAGCCCGGCGGAGCGGGCGGTGAGGACCCCACGGCTGCCGCTTCCCTGCACGGTTCGCCTCCTCCAAGGCCCGGCCCCCAGCGGAGCCCAGCGCTGAATCGCATGGCGCCCCCTGGAGCCCTGGCGGGGAAAACCAGTGGAAGACCCACCTCCCAGGGAGAGGACCCCACTGTATCCCCAGATAATAAAACTGTCCTCTCCCCCAAAAAATAAATAAATAATTTTGTCTGGTCTTTGAAAATGTGTATCCCCTGTGTACTGGTCAAAATGCTGCCCATTTATCTATATGCCTAATTAGCCAACTTTTTAATGAAGTTATTTAACATTCTTTTTTATTATGAAACAAAACAGTAAATTTGTTAATGGTTTTAATATCATCTAATATGATTGAAAATATGTCAATTTTTCATTGCCAAAGAATCTTTGTGTTATTTATTTTACTCTGTTATGTATTCTGTCCATAAAGGTCTAAGTGGCTTAGAATCTTGCCTAACATATTGTATGTGCTAAGTACTAACTACTCTAATTCATCAAATTATCTTTCTATACCATTCTTAAAATACAATATTATTTTCTATTTATTTTTATTAAAATTTTTTGCCTAATCTAATTATTTATGAAAATTATGAGGTCTATTCAGTTTGTCCTCTTGATAAAAGCCAAAGTTTTTTTTTTTCTCTCTTTTTTTTTTTTTTGAGACGGAGTCTCCCTCTGTTCCCCAGGCTGGAGTGCAGTGACACAATCTCGGCTCACCACAACCTCCGCTTCCCGGGTTCAAGTGATTCTCCTGCCTCAGCCTCCCAAGTAGCTAGGACTACAGGCATGTGCCACCACGCCTGGCTAATTTTTGTATTTTTAGTAGAGATGGGGTTTCACTATATTGGCCAGGCTGGTCTTGAACTCCTGACCACGTGATCCGCCCTCCTCAGCCTCCCAAAGTGCTGGGATTATAGGCTTGAGCCACCTCACCAGGCCTTTTTTTTTATCTCTTTATTAATACGTGAGAGAGTACAAATGCCGCTCCCTTACAGAAGCATGTTGCATAGTGATGAAGTATGGGCTTTTGGTGTGACAATCATCTGAATGTTGTTTATTGTCCCAATTAGTTATTTTCTCATTCCTAAACCCTCTCCAACCTCCCATCTTTCTGAGTCTCCAGTGTCTATTTTTCCAGTCTCTATATCCAAGTGTATGCTTAATTGAGTTCCCACTTACAACTGAGAAAATACTGAATTTGATTTTCTGTTTCTGAGTTTTTTCACTTACAGTAATGGCCTCCGGTTTTATTCATGTTGTTGCAAAAGACATGATTTTATTCTTCATGGCTGAGTAGCATTCCATGGTATACTTGTATAGCACATTTTCTTTATTCGATTATTGATTGATAAATTTAAATTGATTTCATATATCGGCTATTATGAATAGTGCTGTGATAAACATGTCAGCATGGGTATTTTCTTTATGTAACAAATTGTTTTCCTTTGGGTAGATACCAAGTAGTGGGAGTGCTGAATCAAATGGAAGTTCTATTTTTAGTCTATTTTGAAATCTCCATACTGTTTTCCAGAGGTTGTAGAAAGTTACTTTCCCACAAACAATGTATAAGTGTTCTCTTTTCCCTGTATCCTTGCCGATAGCTCATTTTTCTGCTTTTTAGTAATAGCCATTCTGCAGGGTGTAAGTTGGTATCTCATTGTGGTTTTTAATTGGCATTTCTCTGATCATTGACAAGGTTGAGCATCTTTTACGTGCTTGTTGACCATTGACCATCAGTGTCTTTCTTTTTTTTAATGTTCATGTTCTTTGCTTGCTTTTTAATGAGGTTACTTGTTTTATTTTTGTTGAGTTGTTTGAGTTCCTTGCATATTCTGGACATTAGATCTTTGTCACATGCAAAACTCGTAAACATTTATCTCATTCCATAGGTTTTCTGTTCACTGTGTTAATTAGGAAGCTCATTTTCAGGAGCTTTTTAGTTTAATTGAGTTGCTGTTGTCTATTTTTGTTATTGTTACATCTGCTTTTGAGATCTTAGTCATAAATTCTTTGTCCAAGTCAATGTCTAGAAGAGTTTATCCTAGAGTTTCTTCTAGCATTTTTATAGTTTCAGGTCTTACATTTTAGTCTTTTAATCCATATTGAGTTGATTTTTGTATATGGTGGGACATAGGGGTCCCATTCCATTCTTCTGCATACGGAAATATAATTTTTCCAGCACAATTTGTTGAATAGGATGTCATTTCTCCAGTGTGTGTTTTTGTTGACTTTGTAAAAGATCAGTCATTTGTAGGTATGTGGCTTTATTTCTAGGTTCTCTATTCTGTACCATTGATCTATGTGTCGATTTATATCAGTACCATGCTGTTTTGGTTACTACAGCCTTCTAGCATAATTTTAAGTCAGATAATGTAATATCTCCAGCTTTATTCTCTTTGCTTAGATTTGCTTTGACTATTCAGGCTCTTTTTGTGGTTCCATAAGAATTTTAGTGGGTTTTTTTTCTAATTTTATAAAAAATACCATTGGCATTTTGGTAGGAATTGCATTTAATATGTAGATTGTTTTGGGCAGTAGAGTCATTTTATTGATCATAATTCTTCCAATCCATAAGCATGGGATGTTTTTCTCATTTGTGTCATGTACAATTTCTTTCATCAGTGTTTTGTAGTTTTCCTTGAAGGGATCGTTCATCTCTTTGACCAATTGTATTTCTAAGCATTTTACCTTTTTTTGTAGCTATTGTAAAAGGAAGTGACTTTTTAATTCAGTTCTCAGCTTGATCATCATTAGTGTATAAAAATGCTATCAACTTTTGTACGTTGATTTTTGCATCCTGAAACATTATTAAATTTATTTATCAAATCTGAGTTTTTTGGTGGTCTTTAGAATTTTTGTATATATGATATTATATTATCATCAAAGAGGGACAATTTGACTTTCTAATTACAACCACATAGATGCTCCCACCAAGATCAATAGACAGAGTCTCTGGGGAGGGCACAAGTGATGGTATTTCTTTAAGCTGGCCATGTGATTATGGCTGGAAGCATGGGCCGAGAGCCACTTAGCTAAGCCTTGCCTCTCAAGTCTGTCTGTCTTTCTTTCTTTCTTCCTTTCTTTCTTTCTGTCTGTCTGTCTTTCTTTCTTTTCTTTCGACAGAGTTTTCACTCATTGTACAGGCAGGAGTGCAGTGGCACCATCTTGGCCCACTGCAACCTCCACCTCCCAGGTTCAAGGGATTCTGCAGTCTCAGCCACCCGAGTAGCTAGGATTACAGGCACCAGCCACCACACCTGGCTAATTTTTGTATGTTTTAGTAGAGACATGGTTTGGCCATGTTGCCCAGGCTGGTCTTGAACTCCTGACCTCAGGTTATCTGCCCACTTCCGCCTCCCAAAGTGTTGGGATTACAGGCATAAGTCACCACACCCGGCTGCCTCTCAAGTTTCAATGTGCATATGAATTATTTCCGATTCCAGGCTCTCTCTTAGTAATGTGATTCTGCAGGTTTGGAAGCGGTCCATGAATTGGCTTCTTTAAAAAGTCTCCTCTTAATGCTGATGTTTCTTCCACTACATCCAATATAGTAGCACTCAGCTAGAGAAAGTAGGCACAGCACAGAGCTCCTGACACCCAACACTGTTACCACAACACAAATACTTTTGGCTCAAAGTGGAAGCCACCAATCGCCATTTTCAAACATGTCATTTTCTGCTGGCTCTTTGCAGTTTAGAAAGCCTAGAGAAGGCATCAATGTTTGAGTAAGTCTGCATTTGGAAAACATGTACACATGAGTTAATACAATGTTTATTGAGCACATACTATGTGTTCAGAAGTCTGTTACAGAGCACTGTTCAGGAAACATTACATGATGTGAGTTAATCCTCATAGCACCCTGGGGAGTTGGGTGCTAAGTTTTCTGTAATTTTCAGGACTTAAATGAAGGGCCTAGCATTTCTATTTTTTCTTCCATTTTAAAAATTATTTACCTGGAAAATAAAATGTGCAGAATAAAAGCTATATCGACAGATGAAGGGATAGAGAAAAAAGGATGAACTGTTCAGAGAGATGTTTTATATTTATATTTACCTTCTTGTGCCTTGTGGAGCAGCTACTGAATTTGCAGGAATGGAAAACAAGTTGCTAGGTGAGGTGTCTCTAGAAGCGCTGGCTTCAATGAAAAAGAAAGTATAACCCCCCAATATAGAATTATTTGCTTCCACTTATCTGCTTTTCCATTTTAGGAAATTGTGGGCACCAGCTCAGGAGAGGCAGCAGGAGCCCCCGCCCGAATCTCTGGTCTCCTTTAATGAGTTCTGTGAGAGAAGATTCTAGGGTGAGGCCAGACCTGGATGAGGCCTTAGAAGAGGGTGGATCTGGGCAGGGCTGGAACAGAAAGTGGACCCCATGTTTCTGATGTTCATGCTGGTGGAGTATTTCCAGTTCTGTCTTTCCTAAGCCTTCCCAACAGAGACTTGACTCTTAGAGCTTGTGTAATTTTAATCTGTTTTAGCCACTTCCCTGTCAATTTTTATAACACATGATAACAAGAAACTTAAGCAAAACTCTTAGGGTTTTTTAGGACAATTATATGAGAAGCTAAAAACTTATTTTTACCAAGATAAAAGAAATAGAAATAATCACAACAACAACAATAATTCTTCTGTCCATGAATAGTCCTTCAGGTAGTGACATCGGAACTCAAGGAACAGCATAAGGGAAATGGAGCAAATGCAGCCAAGGCCCCCTGTGCAGCTCCCTTCTCCCTTCCGACTACAGGATGCTGAATTCAGCCATTAATCCATTTCCCTTCCGACCACAGGATGCTGAATTCAGCCATTAATCCATTTCCCTTCCGACCACAGGATGCTGAATTCAGCCATTAATCCGTTTCCCTTCCGACCACAGGATGCTGAATTCAGCCATTAATCTGTTTGCTCTAGATGAAAAGTTACTGGACAGTAGAAACCATGAATTCTTCATCTGTTTTTCTGATGGTCATGTGATATAGTTTAGATGTCCCCTCCAAATCTCATATTGAATTTTAATCCCCAATGTGGCAGGTGGGACCTGGGGAGGAGGTGGTTGAATCACTGGGTGAGTCCCTCATGGATCTGTGCCATCCTTGTGATAGTGAGTACTCGTGAGATCTGGTTGTTTAGAAGTGTGGCCCATCCCTCCCCCATCTTTCTTGTTTCTGCTTCTACCATGTGAGATGCCTGCTTCTCTTTCACCATGATTGTAAGCTTCCCCAGGCCTTCCCAGAAGCAGACGCTGGTGCTATGCTTCCTGTACAGCCTGCAGAACCATGAGCCAATCAAACTCTTTTCTTATAAATTACCCAGTCTCAGGTTTTTTAAATAGCAATGCAAGAATAGCTTAATACCTCATATGAAAAGAAAGCAATTGATATATTTACCAGTTTGAGTACTTACCAGTTTGAGTCTCCAGACCTCTGCCTTGCTTCAACTCAAAGAACAGGAAGGGAGCAACCTCCATCTACTGCTCCTGATTATGGGAGAATCTTCAGTTCATCTTAAAACATTTCAGTCAAAAGCACCGTGTTTTATGTAGAAGAATGAGGGTGTCTGAAAGAATGGGTCTCTTTATTTATTTTTATTTCTGAGACAGGGTCTCTTTCCCTGTCATTCTGGCTGGGGTGCAGTGGTTCACTGCAGCTTTGACATTCTGTGCTCCAGCGATTCTCCCACCTCAGCCTCCCAAGTAGCTGGGACCACACGTGCACACTACCACAACCAGATAATATTTGTATATTTGGCAGAGATGAGGTTTTTCTATGTTGAGCATGCTGGTCTTGAACTCCTGAGCTCAAGTGATCCTCCAGCCTCTGCCTTTCAAAGTGCTGGAATTACAGGTGTGAGCCACCACACCGGGCAGATGGGTCTTAACTGATTTTAATCAGGATACATGAGCATGGAAGACATGCCCTTAATTTTTTTCCTAATACAATATTTGACAGTTATATAACTATGATTTTTTTATTCCTGTGATTCATAAGGATATGATAGTAAAAGGCCTTGAAAGCCTGTAGGAAAAAAGTGCTATATTGTGCTTGAAACCACCTTTTACTCTGAAAGCAAGTGCCATCCAGATACATCTTTTGAGAAGATATTTTCTCCTGCTGCATTTTAGTCAAACAGCTGAGTGTGTCTTGAAGTAGTTTTTTGATTTTTAACAGGACAAGTGTATTTTCTAAGACCCCAAACTCAGGAGTGGCCATGGGGCAAATCACCGCTGCACACATGGAATGCATGCACAGCAAATGCATTTCTCATCCCGAACCAGGGGTTGTTCCCCCTGGGTGCACACAGGAATCACCAGGGAGGCTTTTAAAATTACCTAAACTCAAAAGGCAATAGATAAGTGAACTCAGAATCCCTGCAGTGGGACCTGAGCCATAGTGCTGTTTAAAGCTCTCTGGGTGACTATGGGGTACAACCAAGCCCCCAAACTGCTGCTTTAAATCAGCCTCTTCGGGTGAACTAGTGGCAAATGGTTTCCTGAAATGAATGGTTTAAATCAGCCTTTTCTGGTGAACTAGTGGCAAATGGTTTCCTGAAATGAATGGTTTAAATCAGCCTCTTCCGGTGAACTAGTGGCAAACGGGTTCCTGAAATAAATGGAAAGATTTGCTGCTGGGTTGTGCTCTTCTGATCTTACCTGCATTACCTACTTTTCCTTGCCGAACTGACCTCTGCTACGTATTTTATTCCTGATTCAATCCAGTTCTACTCATACCAAATGCATAGTATGCACTAGGTGCCCTTGCATTGCTGAACCTCACCGTGGGGAGAGGACTTTGCTGAATAATAATTGCATCCTAAAAAAACTCAAAATACTGGACTCAAATGATCCTCCTGCCTTGGCCTCCCAAGAGCTGAGACTGTAGGCATGAGCCACCGTGCTTGGCCTATACCCTAAAAAATTAAAACTATCTTACTTACTAAATTGATGTAAACATGGGAAGACCTAGAAGGTCACCGAAGTGTTACAACATAAGTAAATACCTTGGAATATTAATATCCATCTGATGATGCCCCGAGAAAACATGTCCCACTTTAAAACAGTACAAAACAGTGCTATTATTCTGAGATATGAAGTTAAAATTTTGTGCAAATAGGTAATATTTAAATTTTTATATATGTATAACATTCATGCAGAAAGACGTATACAAAGAAATCATGTAAAGTTCAATGAATTATTACAAAGTGAACACACGTGTGTAACCTAGAAATAGAACCAGCTTCACAGATGTCCTGGTAACCACTTTCTCTCTTTTGCTCCCCCAAAGTCACTAAGATCTTAAGAGCTAACAGTGTAGATCAACTTTGTATTATTATACATGTTTTATTACAGAAAATTTAAAACATACACAAAATAAAAGAAACAGTACAATAGGCCTGTTACCCAGGCTCAACAACAACTAATAACATGCCAATTTTGTGTTATCTATACTTCAACTCATTTCTCACACAGACTTTGTTATTTATTATTATTTTTTGTGGTATAAAATGTGTGCTCATTGAAGGTAAAATCTTGGCTGAGCACAATGGCTTAAGCCTGTGTAATCCCATCACTTTGGAATGACAAGGCAGGAGGATCATTTGAGGTCAGGAGTTTGAGAGCAGCCTGGGCAGCATAGTGAGACCACATCTTTATTAAATTTTTTTTTTAATTAATCAGGCGCGGTGGTGCATGCCTGTAGTTCCAGCTACTTGGTATGTTGACATAGCAGGATCCCTTGATTCTACGAGTTTGAGGCTACAGTGAGTTGTGATTGTGCCACTGCACATCAGCCTGGGTGACAGAGTGAGACTCTGTCTCAAAAAAAAAATAAATAAAGGTTCGACCTTAACTAGCTTTTTACACATAAACACACCCATATAAGCAATCCCTCTTTTAACAATAGAAGTACCAAACTAAAAATCATTAGTGTGAACCCACTTTTAACTCAGACTTTATCTTTTAATAAGTTTCTTTTCTTTTTTTTTTTTTTGAGGTAAGATGTGCACTCATTGAAAGGTCTAATCTTGGCTGGGCATGGTGGCTCACATTCGTAACCTCATCACTTTGGAAGCCAGAGCTCAGGAGTTTGAGACCAGCCTAGGCAACATAACAAGGCCTCACTGGGGCAAGAGAGTGAGACCTCATCTCTACAACAATTTTTTAAAAGTTAGTTGGGCATAGTGGTGCACACTTCTAGTCACAGCTATTTGAGAGGCTGACTTGGGAGGATCACTGGAGTCTGGGAGGTCAAGGCTGCAGTGAGCTGTGATTGCACCACTGCACTCCTTCCAGAGGGACAGAGTGAGGCTCTGTCAAAAAAAGGTACAATTTTAACTGTACATGTTTGATACATCAACACATCCATATAAACAATCCCTCTCTTAAAAATAAAAGTACCCAATTTAACAGTTATTAATATTCATATGAATTACCTAGAAGCTTTTTGTTTGTTTTGGTTTGGATTTTTATTGAAAGGGGACACCTAGAAATGTCATTTACAATCTAGATTTTGATAAAAATAAGGCTGAGTTTTTTCTTTTTTTGAGATGGAGTTTTGCTCTGTCGCCCAGCTGGAGTGCAGTGGATTGATCTCGGCTCACCAAAACTTCTGCCTCCCGGGTTCAAGCAATCCTCCTGCCTCCCAACTAGCTGGGACTACAGGCATGAGCCACCACATTCAGCTAATTTTTTTTTTTGTATTTTTAGTGCAGATGGGGCTTCCTTATGTTGGCTAGGCTAGCCTTGAACTCCTGACCTAAGGTGATCCACCCGCCTTGGCCTCGCAAAGTGCTGGGATTACAGGCATAAGCCACCATGCCCAGCCAGTCCTAAGTTTTGCCTGAGAATTTCTCTTTCTAAGAAAGTACATCATATGGCAGTTACAAGGTCTCTTTTGTCTAAAATAAATAGAATTTAATAAATAAAAATTTAAAAAATTTACCTGAGATTAAAGGACAAATAAAAACACATGGGTAATATGTTCTCTGTAGGAATATATTTTAACAATGACATAAATTATTAATAATCACTAAATGTTGTAATAATTTATTAACTAAAATTAACAAAATTCCTATTACGATATCTAGGAAAATACTTTCTTAGAGTAAAATATTCTCATATCTTGAGAGAGCATTGGTTAAAAACAGCAAAGATGTGCAAGTCGATGTCTTATCAAGTACTTACTATCACGTAAGTAGCAGACCCCTCTTCACAGCTTTTACAGAGTTATCCAAAACGCAGTCATTTACACAAGAGCAGACAATTTTCCTAGCTTTCTATTGAGTTTATAGGTTAATGTTGTTACAAAATTTATGAAATTACCTGACCAAATTTTATATATTATTTCATAATATATCAAAATTTATTTAGATGTCAAATTTCATATCATAATATTATAATATATAACGATATCATATTATGATAAGTTCCATTTACTTTCAGACAATTTCACTAGGCAGTGTCTGTCTACCACTAATTCTTTTTTCGTTCCACTATTTGCACAGGCAGCACAGCTGGGAAAACACAGACTCACCCAACACAGTCTCTTCCCTGTGACTTTCTCCTCCTCAAGGAATCAGTTCATCAGTCAATCAAGTCATTTGGGACTGGAGGCTGAGTACTCCTTAACATAGAAGGTCTCGTTCCTGCATGCTTTCCTCAGCAGAGGGGGAGACAAGAAGGTCCTTTTAGGGGACACTTGCTTGGACATAGACTAGGCTAGTTGGAGGGCTCTGACCAGCAGAGACAGACTCCGCCGCAGTAGGAAGGGATGAGGCAGCTGTTCTGAACCTGGAGCTCCACCACACCTTGTCCTGTCTCACTGAGGCAGTTTTGAGAGGCTGCCCTGGAATACGTCTTGCTGGTGGATGTTGAGAATCAATGTGGGCTTTGACGGGATTCAGGTGGTGTCCGCAGTGTGAAGACAGGAGCTGATGTTCAGAATCTAGGCTGTTTGTCTTGTGATCAGTTGGGTTACCTGTTTGAGACCAAGTCCATTTTCACTAGGGAGGGCTGAATAAAGCCCACAGAACACAATGGCGCTCCCAGGATGACTGAGGAAGGGTGAGAATGGGGGAAAGTTTTTCCACCGAGACTTTTTGCTACCTCAGGAATCGGGGGCTAATTAGGTTAGCACTGACTCAACCTAATCAATTCAATTTTATTGCATTTGATCTAATTATCTTCCCCATTTTTAAGGTAGGAAGGGCCATTTCATTTGGTATTTATTTTTTCTCTGCATTTTTATTTCATCATATATGTGTGGACCTAATACAATCAACCATAATTTGACATTTGTTGTTTCCAAGCATTTAAGAAATTATAATATCTATGCATACAATGTTAACACTATGTATAATAAATTCTCTTTCTGTGCAAAATATATAACATATGACAATATAGGCATGTTTAATTGTGCATCTTGAAAGGTGAACAGGATCATAAATCCTTCCAGGTAGGAACTGGGACAGAAATAGGAAGAAATGCTTCCCCGATTTTCCGGTCCCTGTGCTCCCGGTTCTTTGTTTTCTGGACACCATGACAGGATCCTGAAAATGTCTCCCTTTAACTGTGTCTAGGTCCCCAGTAGAACTACAGCAAGAAACTTCTGATTGAGGCTCTAAGAAGCGGCAGGAATGAGAAAACTCTTCAGCCAATAAGAGTAAGCCACGCCCAGCCGAGGGACGTATAAAAGGCAGGTCTAGCAGACTAACCCACACTCTGCCTTTGGACGTGAGAGAGAGCGCACCTTTCACTTGAGCTTCAACATGGGAAAGGGAAATGAAGACTCCGATCTCCACTGCTCCTCCATCCAGTGCTCCACTGACCAGCCCCCTTTCCAACAGATCTCCTTTACAGAAAAGGGCTCAGATGAGAAGAAACCATTCAAAGAAAAAGGCAAGACCGCCTTCTCCCATTCCAGTGAGAAGCACATACAAAGGCAAGGTAAGGCCTTGGGCTGCTCCTGTGGAGTCTGGAAGGAGGGTTGGAATCAGGGATACTGAGCTGTGTCTTTAGCAGGGTTTTATTTTGAGATTTGGGGATGGGAAATGGCTTAGTGCCCTCAGGGGACTTGAGAAATGTGTTCACTCGTGACACTGGCAGAAGAGCTTCACATGAAAGACTGATCCGCAAAAATGCATCAGAGATAGACTGTGGGACTCTGCCTAGGGAGAGGTGAGTCACCTAAACCTTCTCTTGCAGCAGGATCGGAGCCCAATCCAAACAAGGAGAATTCTGAGGAAACCAAGCTCAAGGCCGGGAACAGCACTGCTGGATCAGGTAAGATTTGACTCTTTCAAGGTGAGAAGGGACAGGGAAGCAACACAGGCTCCCCTGGCAAGGAAACTGGGAGCTCCTTGGCAGCCAGGGCCGTACAGATCCTGGACACTGGAGAACAGAAGAGAGCTGGGGTTTGGTGGTAACCTCAGCTCCTGTGTGTCCAGGATGGACTAGGAATTTCAGGGTGTTCAGTTGGAGGCACTTTCTCAAACTCTCATTGTGTTCACAGAACCAGAGTCCAGCTCATATCGGGAAAACTGCAGGAAAAGAAAAATGAGTTCCAAGGACAGCTGCCAAGACACAGCAGGTAGAATCTTGGTGTTTGTTGTTGGTGGTGGTGGTTTTTTTGTTTTTGGTTTGCCCCAAAAGGCAAATAATCAGGAAACTTTTATACGAGGCTTGAGCGGAAAGGGAGTTACTTATTGACGAGTAAATTTTTGAGATCTTAGCACTCTGAGAATATTTGGGGACTCACAGGGGGTTCAGCCTCACTTCATTCCAGTGCTGAGATGGTCAGGAAGGAGTGGGAGAGACAAGTGGGGTTCACCTGGGTGTACAGGGGGTTCTGGAAATCAGGGTCTGTGGGGACTGCTCTGGTGAGTCTCTCACATGCTTTCTTTGCAGGGAACTGTCCAGAAAAGGAGTGCAGCTTGTCATTGAATAAAAAATCAAGATCCTCCACTGCTGTGCACAACAGTGAAATCCAGGAGACCTGTGATGCCCACCATAGGGGACATTCCAGGGCTTGCACTGGGCACAGCAAGCGGCATAGGTCTCGGGCCCTAGGAGTCCAAACACCGTCAATTCGAAAAAGCTTGGTGACTTCTGTGCGAGCTATGTCAGAGGCTGTTTATCAAGACCTAGCCCAGGTGTGGGCACAGCAGATCCATTCTCCACTTACCTGTGAGCAGCTGACACTGCTCACTCGGCTCCGGGGGCCTCTGTGTGCCCAGGTGCAGACCTTGTATTCCATGGCCACCCAGGCAGCTTATGTCTTCCCTGCTGAGAGCTGGCTTGTCCCAGCCACACTGCCAGGTCCTGGGGAATCAGCCCTGGATAGAGAAGCCCATCCCTTCCCTGGGCAGGAGATAACTGAGACTGTCAGTGGATCAGATGAGGCTAAGCTGTGAGCACCCTGACCCTATTCAGCAGAGATGCAGCTCTGGGAATGAGAACAAGGATCTGCTTCTTCTCAGATTCTTCCAGATGACCAGCAGTGACAATTTTAGACACACTGTGTTAATAAATGACAGAACCTGAAGAAGTCATAGGAAAGAAACTTGAGCGGTATACTCAGAATGGTGAGAGCCCTGAATTTTGCAGACCGCTAAGACTATAGACAAATTTTATATTTCATGTTAGACATTTGATGCCTTTTGGATGTCTGATGACAGTCATGCATTTCTATATAATCAGAAAAACATTAGAATGTAATCGTGAATTTGCATATTTTAGATTGTAGAAAAGTAAATATAAAATTATGTGCTCCTTTTTTGTTTTTTTTTTTTTTTGAGACAGTCTTGCTATGTTACCCAGGCTGGAGTGCAGTGGCACAATCTTAGCTCACTGCAACCTCTGCTTCCTGGGTTCAAACAATTCTCATGCCTCAGCCTCCCAAGCAGCTGGGACTACAGGCATGTACTGCTATGCCTGGCTAATTTTTTTTTTCCTGTATTGTTAGTAGAGACAGAGTTTTGTCACTTTGGCCAGGTTGGCCTCGAACTCAGGTGATCTGCCAGCCTCCGCCTCCCAACGTGCTGGGATTACAGGCATGAGCCGCCTTACCAAGAAATTGCTTCTCTTTTAATCCAGAAAAGGTTGTAGGCTCTCACTCTTCCAGCCTGAACCCATGGAGTACTAATATCCACAAACCATTAATAGCACTCCCTGTGGGAAAATGTCTATATATTTTTAGTTTGATATAATTATAGTAAAATTACTATGCAAGCTGTTTACTTTTAATATTTCTACATAAAATTTAAGTCAAGATATAGTAAATGGTAAATGATTGTACTTATTTATTGACCTGCCTCATGTTTCATTTCATTTTAAACATCCTAAATTTATATTTTATTATATTTTATACATTTCAATTGATTGTACTATATTGCAGGATATGGAGATTTCATCACGTACTACAATACAGTGTATTTTGTTATATTTGACGTATATTCTACTTGTATTTTGTACTGAGATCATACACTATTTCATTATCTAAGTGTATTAATTGTTTGGTTGCTTTATAATTTTCATTTTATGTAATGAAATAAACAATGTTGTTTGGAATTTTAAATTTCTTTCATATGGAATTTGTATTTAATAAAAATGTGAAAAAGAGAATGTCTTATCGTCACTTCCGTGTCATCCTATCCCTGACCTCCCCACAGCCCACAGCTCTTGTCATAGTGCGGGAATAGTGTTCTATCACTACAGGAAATGGGGCCAATTCAATGGTAATACACAGATATGAATTGGAGATACAGAGATTTTATTCTCGAGCACTGCAGTATAAAAGAATCACAGTAACGCGAGTCACACAATTTTTGGGTTGACACTGCTTATGAGTTATGCTTACACTCTGCTGTAGAATAACGCTGAAATAAATTATGTCTATTAAACAAATGCACATACATAAATAATGTGTCTAAATAACAATGTACATAATGAAAATGAATTTTATTGCTAAAAAATGTTAACACACAGATACACACAATGGGATCATATAATGTTGAAAAATAGAGATGGGGAGAGGAACAGAGACAGAGAGAAAGGGAGGAATGGAGCGAGAAAAGGACGGATGGATAGAGGGACATTGGAAAGGAGAAAGTGGGGAGCGGGGAGGGAGGGAGGGAGAGAAGGAGGAGGGAGGGAGGGAAGGACAGAGGGAGAAAGGGAGCAAGAGACAGAGAGGAAAGCAGAGAGGAAAGCAGAGAGGAAAGCGGTCTTCCGCCTCCAGGGCCAGCGGGACCTCGCACTCCGGGAAAACGTGGGGTGCCCGGTGCAGGCCGAGAGCTCGGCCCACAGCCGCGTCTGCTTGCGGGGCGCCCACCAGCTCACCAGCCCTCCGGATCGCCGGCCCGGGTCACTTCATCCCGGAGCAATTCGGACGAATTCCGCCTCCCAAGGAATGAGAGCAATGAGCCGAGACGCGGGTGATTGTCCGTTTTCCATCCACGTGGTTCACAGACGACACGGCCCCGCGTTGAGCAACAGAGCGCGAGGCGGACAGGCCCGTCCACACGGGAGTCACACTCGGGCCGAGTGAACCGTGATTCCGGGTTCCACGCTCCTTCGCCCTCTGCAAGGGGACCTGTTGCTCGCGTGTCTCCCGCCCCCGAAAGCGCGACCACGTTGGCTGTTTCCCGAGCTCTGCGGGGACACAGAAACCTCCAGCGAAGCGTGGAAAAGCAGCATCGTGACTTCGCTCTCCTTTCCGGTTTCCAGACCGGCCACAGTGGAGACTCCCCTTGTTGCAGGAAACAGGAATCCGTGGTCAGGCCGTGATGCACCCGACGTTTCTTTTCTCTGCAGTTTCGCTCTCGTTTTCTACATGAAAACGAACGAGATCCACACCCCTGCGTGTGTGAACTATCACGGCAACGGCGACACCCACAGAGGGCCTGGAAAACTCAAGACCGTCACGGAAGCTCAGTTCCACACTCCACCCTTCGGGGTGGTTTCTGCCTGAAAACTGAGTCAAGACAGCGGCTTCCAGTTTCCATAGAATTACTGGAGAACCTCAGAGAGCCAGCCCCGGAAGCCCCTCTTTCCCCTCCAATCCGGCCCTGCACCCACCCACCCCACAAGGCCCTGGTCCCTGTGGTTTTCGGCTTCGGAGGGCGGGCTACCCCGGGACCTTGGGCCCCGAGCTCATGCATGTTCATAACGCGGTGGAGGTGGTAGGTCTTTCTAAGGGCCTCCTGGCTGCACCTGCCGCAGTGCACAGGCCGGCTGAGGTGCACGGGAGCCCGCCGGCCTCTCTCTGCCCGCGTCCGTCCGTGAAATTCCGGCCGGGGCTCACCGCGATGGCCCTCCCGACACCCTCGGACAGCACCCTCCCCGCGGAAGCCCGGGGACGAGGACGGCGACGGAGACTCGTTTGGACCCCGAGCCAAAGCGAGGCCCTGCGAGCCTGCTTTGAGCGGAACCCGTACCCGGGCATCGCCACCAGAGAACGGCTGGCCCAGGCCATCGGCATTCCGGAGCCCAGGGTCCAGATTTGGTTTCAGAATGAGAGGTCACGCCAGCTGAGGCAGCACCGGCGGGAATCTCGGCCCTGGCCCGGGAGACGCGGCCCGCCAGAAGGCCGGCGAAAGCGGACCGCCGTCACCGGATCCCAGACCGCCCTGCTCCTCCGAGCCTTTGAGAAGGATCGCTTTCCAGGCATCGCCGCCCGGGAGGAGCTGGCCAGAGAGACGGGCCTCCCGGAGTCCAGGATTCAGATCTGGTTTCAGAATCGAAGGGCCAGGCACCCGGGACAGGGTGGCAGGGCGCCCGCGCAGGCAGGCGGCCTGTGCAGCGCGGCCCCTGGCGGGGGTCACCCTGCTCCCTCGTGGGTCGCCTTCGCCCACACCGGCGCGTGGGGAACGGGGCTTCCCGCACCCCACGTGCCCTGCGCGCCTGGGGCTCTCCCACAGGGGGCTTTCGTGAGCCAGGCAGCGAGGGCCGCCCCCGCGCTGCAGCCCAGCCAGGCCGCGCCGGCAGAGGGGGTCTCCCAACCTGCCCCGGCGCGCGGGGATTTCGCCTACGCCGCCCCGGCTCCTCCGGACGGGGCGCTCTCCCACCCTCAGGCTCCTCGGTGGCCTCCGCACCCGGGCAAAAGCCGGGAGGACCGGGACGCGCAGCGCGACGGCCTGCCGGGCCCCTGCGCGGTGGCACAGCCTGGGCCCGCTCAAGCGGGGCCGCAGGGCCAAGGGGTGCTTGCGCCACCCACGTCCCAGGGGAGTCCGTGGTGGGGCTGGGGCCGGGGTCCCCAGGTCGCCGGGGCGGCGTGGGAACCCCAAGCCGGGGCAGCTCCACCTCCCCAGCCCGCGCCCCCGGACGCCTCCGCGGCAAGCACAGATGCCAGCCATCCAGGCGCCTCCCAACCGCTCCAGGAGCCGGGGCGCTCGTCTACAGTCACCTCCAGCCTGTTATATGAGCTCCTGTAGACACCAGAGTTTCAGCAAAAGGCACGACCTTTCCTAGATCCGGCGCCACTGGGGGAGCTGAAGGACGTGGAAGAGCCCGCTCTGCTGGAACCACTCCTCAGCCAGGAAGAACACCGGGCTCTGCTGGAGGAGCAGGTTGGAGCGGGGTTGGGGCGGGGTGGGGGCAGGATGGCGCCCTCTCTTTCGCGGTGAACCTCTGACTCGGTATGGAGAGGCGTGCCTTCCCTTCCAGCTGACCTGTCTAGGATCCCTGAGTTCCAGGTCCGGTGAGAGACTCCACACAGAGGAGGGCTGTCATTCTTTCCTGAGCATCCCGGGGATCCCAGGGCCCGCCCAGGTACCGGGAGGTGGACTGTCTACTGCGCATGCGCAGGTTTGCAGGCAGCAGCCTAGGTTTTCCAACCAGCCCAGGCGGAGCTCTCATTCCTTTTTCCCCAGCGTTCTTCAGTCGAGTTGGCGGAGACCTCAGTCCGCGAAGCGCTGGGCCGGGGCAGAAGCCAGGCCAGTTCTCCTTTCCGTGGCTCGACTCCTCTGCCTCTTCGCTCACCAACACTTGCCAACCCCCGTCCCGCCAGCCTCCTCGCCAGCACCATGGAGCGCCTTGCAACTAAATGTAGACCCGAGACCCCGTGCAAACCAGGGTGCTGCCCTTTCCAGGCAAGAGGCAAGGCAGGCAGAGATGAGGACGGGAACGGAGACAGAGTGGGAGGGAAGGATGGAGCTAGGAAAGGATGGATGGACGGAGGGACCCTGGAAAGGAGAGAAAGAGGGAGGGAGGGAGAAAGGGAGGAAAAAACCAGGGGAGGAAGGGAAGAGCAGACGGAAGGATGGACCGAGGGACAAAAGGAGCAAGAAACAGATAAAGGAAGGCAGACAGAAAAACGGTCTTCTGCCTCCAGAACCAACAGGACCCAGCACTCCGGGAAAATGCTGGGTGCCCAGCGCGGGCTAAGTGCTGGGCCCTCCGGATCGCCAGCCTGAGTTACTTCATCCCGGAGCGATTCAGACGAATTCCGTTTCCGAAGGAATGAGCGAATTCCCCAGAGAGCAATGAGCTGAGACTCAGGTGGTTGTCCGTTTTTCATCCACATGGTTCACAGATGACATATCCCCACGCTGAGCCCTGCAACAGAGCGCGAGGCGGATAGTCCCATCCACACAGGAATCACGCTCAGGCCAACTAAAGCGTGATTCTGGATTCCACGTTTCTTTGCCCTCTGCAGAGGTGCCTGTTGCTCAAGTCTCTGCCCCCGCCCCCCGAAAGTGTGACCATGTTGACTGTTTGTTTCCCGAGCTCTGTGGGGACCCAGAAACTTCCAGGAATGCGTGGAACACCAGCATCGTGTCGGTGCTCTCCTTTCCAGTTTCAAACAGGCTATATTGCAGACCCCCCATTTTGCAGGAAACAGGAATCCATCGTCAGGCCGTGATGCACGGGACGTTTCTTTTCTCTGTGGTTTCGATCTCGTTGTCTACATGAAAATGAACGAGATCCACACACCTGCGTGTGTGAGACTATCAGGGCAACTGTGACACCCACGCGCTGGCAATAGAGTTGGCAGCCTGATCCCAGGACAAAGGTACTGACGGACATCCAGACACACCCCACCACAATCACTAGCAAACCCACTCCCAAACACACAGACACACACGGGCGCACGCGCGGGAACACAAGCACACACACAGACACACAAAGACACAGACAGCTTGAAGAAAAGCAAAGGACAGAGGGATGGAAAGATAGAAACGGAAGGAGAGAGAGAAACAGCGAGAGAGAGAGAGAGAGAGAGAGGGAGGAGAGCGGGCAAGGTGGAGAGGGAAGTAGAGAAAGGGAGCGGGCGAGGGAGCTAGAGAAGGAGAGCAACAGAGCCTTGGAGAAGGAGGCTCTGCTCTGGTAGACAGGGGCCCCTTTGGCCAGGGTAGGGTGGAGCGTGCCTGGGCCGGGCTAGAACAGGGGGGCAGGGCCGCCCACGAGGGAAAACCAAGGGAGCCCTGAGACGTGTTTTCACTTGGATTGGTTGGTGGCTTTGGGGGTGCGTTTCGTAGCGTCATTCCTTTGCTGGCTCCTCCCTGTCCTCTTGGTGCTGTGGGTCCTGAAAGTTGTCGAGTGCGCCCGTCCCTGTGGTGGGAGCAGTGGCCCCGAGCGTGCCCACGGGCCCCGGCTTGGGTTTCTCTCGTGTTTAGAATGGTATGGCCGTAGACAATGGCGGTGGCGCCTGGCTGGTCCAAGAGCCCGGTCCAGCTACGCGCGTCTGATTCCAGGCGTCACCACCAACCCGGGGCCGCGAGGCTGGGATCAGGCACCCCCGGAGCCGCTCGCCCGCGGCCGGGCTGCTCTCCCCCTCTATACGCCCAAGCACCAGTCGCCGCGCTGCGTTTTCCGCCGGCCTCGCAGAGCGTCCCGCTATCGCCGGCGGCCAGACCACGCGCAGGACCGCTGAGGCGCCCGAGGCCTCCATTCCCTGCCAGGGCTCTGGACTCTCCAGGCGGCCTCCCTTTAGCTGACACTCCAGGCCTTCCCCTGGCTCTCCAGCTCCGGAGCTTCCAACACTTGGGGCCTGCTCAGGACGGGGTGTGATCCCAGGTGTCAGGGCCCAGGGCCCACGGTCCTGGGATCCCCTCTGGTCCTCCGCCTTGCCGCGGAAAAATTATTTTGGATTCCTCGCCGCCCCTCCTGCAAGGCCCCCTCTTGCCCCACGCTCCCAGAGAAGCCAGGGCTGCCCGGGGGCGAACAGCCGGCCCAGCCCCGCGGGCCCTTTTTCTCACAACGCCCACACCATTGTCGCTTGTCCCGAGGAAGACCGGCCCGTGGCCAACGGGGCAGGAAGGCCCTGCTTTGTCCCGCGCTGGCACTAGAGCCCCGGCAGCCTGATCCCGGGAAAGAGGGGCTGACGGACACCCAGACACACCCCACCACCACCACGAGCAAACCCACCCCCCCCACACACACACAGATACACACGGGCGCGCGCACACGCACACGGACACGCACGGACACACACACAAAGACACAGACGGCTTGAAGGACAGAAAGGGAGAGAGGGATGGAGAGATAGAAACAAAGGGTGAGACAGAGACAGAGATAGAGACAGAGAGGGTGGGGAGAGACGGAGAGAAGGTGACAGAAGAGCGAGAGGTGGAGGGGAAGAAGAGAAAAAGAGAGGATGAGGGAGCTGGAGAGCGAGAGCCATAGAGCCTTGGAGGAGGCTCTGCTCTGGCAGACAGGGCCCCTTTGAGCAGGCCGGGGTGGGGTGGAGGGTGCTTGGGCTGGGCCAGAACAGGGGGGCAGGGCCGTCCAAGGGAGAGGACTAACTGAGCCCTGAGACGTGTTCACTCTTGGATTGGTTAGTTACTTCAGGGGTGCGTTTGGTAGGGTCCTTCCTTTGTTTGCTCCTTTCTGTCTTCTTGATGCAGTAGGCTCCGAGATTTGTAGAGTGCGCCTGTCCATCTGACCGGAGCCATAACGCCGAGCGTGCTTACAGGGCTCAAGACCTGGGTCTCTCTCGTGTCCCCGAGACTGGATTTTACACGAAGTCGGTGGCAATGAAAATCCAAGTGCACAGGGACGGTTTTCTTGGTGGCTGACGAAGGCAATGTCCTTCCGCGGTGGAAACCAGCCCATGCGTTGTGGAGCGCAGGCGTGCGGAAAAGTGGGAGTAGAGTCAGGGGGCCGTTGGGAAGCACGGCGACAAAAGGGGGAAAGAGGGAGGGAGCGGGGAGCCAAAAGCCTTCAGCACCCTGTATTCCCAGGGGGTCTCGCATCCCAAGTACTAACCAGGCCCGACTCTGCTTAGCTTTCAAGGTCAGTCGAGATCCCGTGCGTTCAGGGTGGTGTGGCCGTAAAGGCCGGCAGTGGCGGCTGCTCGACTCCTGGCGTCACCGCCACCCCTGGGCCGCGGGGCTCAGATCCGGGGCCCCAGAACCGCTCCCCCGCGGCCGGGCTGCTCTCGCCATCAAGGTCCCAGCACCGCCGGCCGCCGCGCTGCGCCTTCCGCCGGCCTCCCAGAGCCACCCCCGTCGCCTGCGGCCAGAGAACGCGCCGTGGCACCGCCCTGCTGCAGCGCGGGAGAGCCAGAGACCTCAGTCCCCTGCCCAGGCTCCAGGCACACCAGGTGGCCTCCCTTTTCGCAGACGCTCCAGGCCTTCCCCGGCTTGGGAGCTCCCAAGCTTCCAACACATCTGGCCGGCTCAGGACGGGGTGTGCTCCGAGGCGTCAGGGCCCAGGGCCAACTGTCCTGGGATCCCCTCCGGTCCTTCGTCTTGCCGCAGAAAAATTGTTTTGGATCCCTCGCCGCCCCTCCTGCAAGGCCCCCTCTTGCCCCACACACCCAGAGCCGTCAGGGCTGTCCAGGGGCAAACAGCCGGCCCAGCCCTGAGGGCCCTTTTTCTCACAACGCCCACACCATTGTCGCTTGTCCCAACGAGGACTCGCCCCGTTGGCCAAGGCCCTGCTTTGCCCCGCGCTGGCACTAGAGCCCCCGCAGCCTGATCCCGGGGGAGAGGGGCTGATGGGCCACCCAGACACACCCCACCACCACGAGCAAACCCACCCCGACACGCACACAGATACACACGGGAGCACGCGCGCGGTCACACACACACGGACACACACGGAGACACACACGGGCACACACACACGGACACACAAAGACACAGACACAGACAAAGATAGCTTGAAGTAAGGGAGGAGACCACCCCTCATATTGTCTTATGCCCAATTTCTGCGTACTGAGACTAACACAGCAACTGTGACACCCATGCGCTGGCGATAGAGTAGGCAGCCTGATCCCGGGACAAAGTTACTGACGGACATCCAGACACACCCCACCACAATCACGAGCAAACCCATTCCCAAACAGACACACATGGGCGCACCGCTTTTAGTAAAAACTAAAAGGCAGAAATGAAATCCATAGGCAGACAGCCCGGTGTCACACCCTGGGCCTGGTAGTTAAAGATATACCCCTGACCTACTCGGTTATGTTGTCTATAGATTACAGACATTGTATCGAAAAGCACTGTGAAAATCCCTGTCCTGTTTTGTTCTGATCTAATTACCGCTGCATGCGGCCCCCAGTCAGTACCCTCTGCTTCCTCAATGGATCACGACCCTCTCACGCAGACCCCCTTAGAGTTGTAAGCCCTTAAGAGGGACAGGAATTACTCAGTCGGGGAGCTCGGTTTTTGGAGACATGAGTCTGCGGATGATCCCAGCTGAATAAAGCCCTTCCTTCTACAACTCGGTGTCTGAGGGGTTTTGTCTGCGGCTCCTCCTGCTACAGAAGGAGAGGAAGGGAGAGAGGAATGGAGAGATAGAACCAGAGGGAGAGAGAGAGACAGCGATAGAGAGAGAGAGAGACAGAGAGTGGGGGAGGAGAGAGAGAGAGAGAGGGAAAGAGAGAGCGCGACAGAAGAGCGCGAGGTGGAAGGGGAAGTAGAGAAAGGGAGAGGCTGAGGGAGTTGCAGAGCGAGAGCGACAGAGCCTTGGAGAGGGAGGCTCTGCTCAGGTAGACAGGCCCCCTTTGAGCAGGCCGGGGTGGGGTGGAGGGTGCTTAGGCCGGGCTAGAACAGGGGGTCAGGGCCCCCCATGCGGGAAAACCAACGGAGCCCTGAGACGTGTTTTTTCTTGGATTGGTTGTTTGCTTTGGGGGTGCGTTTCATAGGGTCCTTCCTTTGTTTGCTTCTTTCTGTCTTCTCGATGCGGTGGCCCCCCAGATTTGTAGATGCGCCCATCCGTCTGGCGAGAGCCCTGGCTCTGAGCCTGTCCACGGGGCCAGGCCTGGGTCTCTCTCGTGTCCTCGGGACTGGAATTTACACGAAGTCGGTGGCAAAGTGCACAGGGACGGATTTCCTCACGGCTGGCGAGGGCAATGTCCTTCCCCCGGGTAAAGCAGCCCACGGGTTCCGGAGCGGAGGTCTCGGCTGGCGTCTGTGGGACCCGCTGCCCCTGCCCGCCCCTTCCCCCGGTTTGGACCGTCGCAGCGGCGCTGGATGAATGAATTGCCTGGGCTTCCGGGGAGCGTGAAAGACACCCGGGACCTCAGGGAACCCGCGCCTGCGCCCTCGGGGTCGGTCCAGTCCGCCTGGGTTGGAGCCCGGCTCCTGGTGGGGCTGCGGCGAGTCGGAAAAGGTGGGATGCTGCTGCCTGGCGGTGCTGCAGTGGCGGATCTTCAGGGGGAGGTCCTGGGCTTCGGCTGGGGCGCAGGGGCGGACAGGGTGGAGGGAGGGGGCGGTTGGGAAGCACGGAGACAAAACGGGGAAAGAGGGAGGGAGCGGGAAGCCAAAAGCCTACGGTACCCGCTATTCCCAGGCGGAATCCATCCAAGTACTAACCAGGCCGGACCCTGCTTAGCTTCACGAGCTCAGAGGAGCTGGGGCGCGCTCAGGGTGGTGTGGCCTAGACACCGGCAGCGGCGCCTGCCCGCCCCGACAGCCCGGCCCAGCCACGTCCGCCCGGCTCCAGGCGTCACCGCCACCCCGGGGCAGCGGGGCTCGGATCCGGGACCCCCAGAGCCGCTCGTCCGTGCCCCCGGGCAGCTGTCTCCCTCTACGCCCGAGCACCGCCGGCCTCCCAGAGCGTCCCGCCGTCGCCGGCGGCCAGGCCTCGCGCAGGACCAATGTGGCGCCGCCCTGCTGTTGCTGGGGGGCGTCCTAGGCCTCCGTGCCCTGCCCAGGCTTCCGGCTCTCGGGGCGGCCTCCCTTCCGCCCACGCTCCAGGGCGTCCCCGGCTCCCGAGCTCCGAGCTCCACCACATCGGCCGGCTCAGGACGGGTGTGCTCATCCCTTCACTTTTTAACTTTTTGTTGTTTCTATTTATATTTTATTGTGCTATGTCTGGAAATGTTGTAGCTATTACTTTTGATTGGATATTATTTAGTATTCCTACTTTGAATAAGAGTAGTTTGCACATCCCACAGCTACAGCGTTATAATATTCTGTTTTGTTTTGTATCCTATTAGCACTGAGGATTTTTTTTACCTTTAGGTGATCATTTATTGCTCATTAATGTCCTTTTCTTCCTGATTGAAGTACTCTCTTTAGCATTCCTTTAGGACAGACATGGTATTCATAAAATACTTCAGCTTTTGTCTGGAAAAGTCAGTATTTCTTCTTTTTATTTGAAGAATATTTTCACTGTATATGCTATTCTAAGGTAAAAGGTTTTTTTTCCTTTAGTACTTTAAATATTTATTGCTTCTCTCTCCTGGCCGGTAGGGTTTCCACCGTAAAGTCTGCTGCCAGAGGTGTTGGAGCTCACTGTTATGTTCTTTGTTTCTCTTCTCTTTCTTCCTTTAGAACTTTTCTTTATCTTTGACTTTTGGAAGATCTATTGAATGCTTTGAAGTAGTCTTTTTTTGGGTTAAATCTGCTTAATGTCCTATAACATTTTTGTAGTTGGATATGGATATCTTTCTCTAGGTTTGGAAAGTTTTCTGTTATTATCCCTTTGAATAAATTTTTCTACCCCTGCCTCTTTCTCTACATCTTCTTTAAAACCAATAACTCTTAGATCTGTCTTTGTGAGGCTATTTTTCTAGATCCTGTAGGCATGATTTGTTGTTTTTATTCTTTTTCTTTTGTCTCTTCTGACTACGTATTTTCAAATAGCCTGTCTTCAAGCTCACTATTTCTTCTGCTTGATCCATTCTGCTATTAAATGGCTCTAATGCATTCTTCAGCATGCCAATTGCATTTTTCAGCTCCAGAATTTCTGCTTAATTTGTTGTAAATTTTTCAATCTCTTTGTTGAGTTTAGCTGACAAAATTTGGAATTTCTTTATTTTGTTATCTTAAATTTCTTTCAGTTTTTTTTTAATACAGCTATGTTGAATTCTCTGTCTGAAAGGTCACATATCTCTTTTTCTCCAGGATTTGTCCCCGGTGCCTTATTTAGTTCACTTGGTGAGGTCATGTTTTCCTGGATGGTGTTGATGCTAGTAGATGTTATTCAGTGTCTGGACATTAAATTCTTGGGCATGCAGCACCATATGAGAGGTTTAAAAAATAAAATTAAAAAAGAGAAAAGGTGAGTATTTATTGTAGTCTTCACTGTCTGGGCTTATTTGTAGCTGTCTTTCTTGGGAAGACTTTTCACATATTTTAAAAGACTTGGGTGTTGTGATCTAAGCCATATCTGCTTTATGGGTACCTTGTACCCAATAATGCTGTAATTCTTCCAGACTCAGAGAAGTACCACCTTGACAGCCTTCAACAAGATCCAGGAGAATTTTCTAGATTACTAGCCAGAGACTCTTGTTCTCTACCATTATTTTCTCTCAAAGATACAGAGTCTTTCTCTCTGTTCTAAGCCACCTAAAGCTGGGAGAAGAAAGACACAAGCACCCCTGGCCACCACCACTATGACTGCCCTGGATCAGACCTGAAGCTAGCACAGCACTGGGTCTTGCTCAAGTCCTGCTGCATGCACTTTCTGATGACTGCCTATGTTCACTCAAGGCCTTTGGTCTCTACAATTAGCAGGTGGCAAAGCCAGCCAGGCCTGTGTTCTTTCCTTTAGGGCAGTGAGTGCCCTCAGTCCCTGGCTGGGTCGAGAAGTGCCATTCAGAAGTCAGGGAGTAGAGTCAAAAGTTTTAGAAGTCCACCTGACATTCTATTGCATTGCAGCTGACCTGACACTCAAACCACAAGACATAGTCCTTCCCATTCCTCCCTTCCTTTCCTAAAGGCAGAGTAGCCACCACCACCTCAGGCCACAATGAGTACTGCCAGGCTACCACCAATGTTCCCTTAAGGCCCAAAACCTCTTGTCAACTTGCGATGAATGCTGCCTGGCCTGGGACTTGCCGTTTTCAGGGCAATGGGCTCCCTACTGGCCCTGGGCAGCTTCATAAATGCCAGCCAAGAATCAAATCCTAGAATCAGGGATTATGAAATTTTGCTTGGTGCTCTACCCACCTCTGGCCTTGCTGGTACCTAAGGGGCAAGACAAAGTCCCCTTTAATTTTCCCTCTACTTTTCCCAAGAAGAAGGAGTTTTGCCTTTTAGCTACCACAGCTGGTAATGTGCTGAGTTCACCTAAATCTAGCAAGTCTATGAGGGTCATCCAAGGCCCTTGATGTAGTACTGGGTATGGCTGCTGGTTATTCAGAGCCCAAAGGTTTTCAAGTTTGCAGGCGATAAATCCTGCCAGCACATGGTTCTTTTCTTCAAGGCAGCAGGTTTCCTTCTGGCCCAGGATGTGTCTAGGAATGTCTAGGAGCCAGAGACTGGAAAGGAGGCCTCAGGATTCTGACCAGTGCACTATCTTGCTGTGACTGAGCTGGTGTCCAGGATGAAAGACAAAGTACTCCCTACTCTTTTCCCTCCTCTCCTCAAGCAGAAGGATGGTGTCCCTTTTGGAGCCATGAGCTGTGCAGTCTGGTGTTAAGGGAGTGATAATGCCAGAACTCCTTTGGCTGCCCCAGCTGGTGTCTCAGTGTGTTGCATGCCCTCCCCACCCCAGTCCACTGTCCCTGGGCCCGGTTCAGCCCTAGGCCTCACCTAAGAGTTGCAGTCCTGATGGCCTAGGCTGCCTTTCAAGTTTTCTTAGACACACAGTGCGGGAGCCCTTAGTTGCCAGGTTTCCAAACACTGAAGTTCCAACCACTGGAATCTGATTCCCCTCTAGCTAGGGCTGGTTTAATTGATCCCTCTGTGGATGGGCATTAACTGCATTTGGTCTGGTTTTCCTTTCTGCTCTAACAGGACAGCACTGAGTGCAGTGCGTCACAATTGCTGTGTTCTCCCTCCTGCAGAACCCAGAGTTGTTGTCTGCACCATGCCATCACTGCTGGGGATAAGGAAATGGTGATTTCAGGACTGTTTTTTCTGTCTCTTCAGTGCCTCTTTCAGTGATCTGAGGTTAAAACCAGATACTTTGAGTACTCACCTGATTTTTGGTTCTTATGAATGTATTTTCTATGTGGATATTAATAGTTATTCATCTGGTGTCCTTGCAGGAGGGACAATCAGTGGAGCCTTCTTTCTGCCGTCTTGCTTTACTCTCACACCCAAGAATCAGAATGCAGAACTTTTAATAAGAAAAGCTTTCAGAACTCAGGAAGGACAAGGAAGACATTCTGGTTCTCCATGCTTAACATTGGACTGTTTCTTCAACTTAGGTGCATAGCACTGACTAAGCAGGGATTATCATAGATAATTTGACTTGGACTATGCAGTTCATTCAAATTCTTTATCTAGACAATTTAAGTACTAGCTGATTTGGCATGAAAATCTGGCAAAGTATTTTCTTGGTATTCAATTGATTTTTATTCTGCTTGGGTTAGCAATTTTATTAACCAGTCAGTCTCTTCATTAAAGTTCTGGAAATTCTTACCCAGTTCAAATAATATAATTCTAAAGTTCTCAAAAACCTATATTCAAGAGTACTTCTCAGGGCCTTCTCCATCCTTTCATGAACCTCCTTAAAGAAACAATATTCCAGGATTTTGCAAGCTTGTAAAGTTTTCAGAAACTGCCTCAGAATTAAGCAATTTACAGTGGAAATGACTTTAAACTATCATAGTTAGACATAATTGGCAAGATAATTTTATTATTTACAGGCGTGAGCCACCATGCCCAGCCTCTAAAGTTAATTTAATAAAACTTTATAAATAAATTTATCAAATGTTGTCATCTTTTAATCCCAGATTTTTGTGAACGTATGCTTTGCATTTTCCCCCAACTTTCTATATTTATCTAGTTTTATCTAGTTTTTTTTTACTTCTTCAATTTGAAATCTTTAAGTAACTTCAAACCAAAAAAAAATTAAAACACATTTTTATGTCTTTATAAGTTTTATCATCAAAAGCGTATGTTCACAAGCCTGTAATCCCAGCACTTTGGGAGGCCGAGGCAGGTGCATCACTTGAGGTCAGGGGTTCGAGATCAGCCTGGCCAACATGGTGAAACTCCATCTCTACTAAAAATACAAAAATTAGCCGGGTGTGGTTGCGAGCACCTGTAATCCCAGCTAGTTGGGAGGCTGAGGCAGGTGAATCACTCGAACCGGGGAGGCAGAGGTTGCAGTGAGCTGAGATCATGCCACTGCATGCCAGCCTGGGCAACAGAGCAAGACTCGTTCTCAAAAAAAGAAAAAAAAAGCGTATCTTGCTTTTTATACACTCTGTATGCAGAATTGTTTCTCTCATATCTAGTAATTAAGTCTTAGGAGCCCCAATTTTCAGTGAAAACCCTAAAAAGTGATTTTCAACTGTCTTGTATCAGTATTTTTAGATAAAAACCATTTTATAACTTTTAAGAAATATAATTCTTCAAATTACTGTTTATTAACAGAACTAAAGATATTTAGGTTTTGTATACCATATACAAGTAACGTGTCATGGTATATAGACCTAAACTAATTTTTAATGGTTAGTATTTCAATATTTTAGCTTACAAATGACTCAAGATATTTTATGGTTATGTATTACTTAATTTAATGTGATTTTAAGATTTTAAATTAATGAACAGAATTTTGAAACTATGACACAGGTGGCATCCGTAATGTCTTCCCTCAGTAATCCTCGGTTCCAAGTAGCCACATGGCACCCAGGAGAACTATGAAGATCAGGGCCTGCCTGAGTCCATTAGGACTAAAGACAGAACTGTGAAGGCTATAACTGGAGGATCCACCCCCGCCTAAAATAGCCAGGAGGCAAAACAGGGAAAGCATAGAAAGAAGGGGCCGATTGGGCTTGATTCTGGCTTGTAGCTGCTGGTCTAGGCACTGAGAATGTGTCTCCATACTTCTTCATGTTCACCTATCAAGACCCATGAATCAAGAAACTCTCAACAAAAGATGTAAGCTCACAGTTAAATCAAGCAAGTATCTAATTATTTTTAATGGATAATTGTAAAGCCATTTCTATTTAACGATTTAAGAATGAGCTTTATTTACAAAATATTATTACATACATGTAACACATATAGACATACAAACACACAGGAGCAGATCTTACAGCTTTCATAAAGGATTTAAAAAATGTTTTATTTTAGGTTTGGGGGTACATGTGAAGGTTTGTTACATAGATAAACTCATAACACAGGGGCTTGTTATACAGATTATTTCATAACACAAGTATTAAGCCCAGTACCCCACAGTTATCTTTTCTGTTCCTCTCCCTTCTCCCACCTTCCCCGCTCAGGTAGACCCCCAGTGTCTGTTGTCTGTTGTTCCCTTGTGTTCATAAGTTCTCATTATTTAGCTCCCATTTACAAGTGAGAACACGTAGCTGCATAGTATTCCATGGTGCATATGTGTGTTCTGTGTGGGAAACGTGTGAGGAAAGAAAAGAAACACACAATACTTTTAAAGGTAAACAGACTTTACCCCGAGTATATGGCAATATAGATATAATAAGCAAATGATACAACAAACAAATTTTAATGGGAAGGGGAGAAGGGAAAAAGTATATACATACATTTATATACATTTACACTCACCAGACTGTGGAGGATTCATCACCAGACTGGGAAACAACAGCCTGGGATTCAGAATTGGCCACTAGTCCGTGCACAGATGAGGAGAGGTCCCAGGAAGCTTCGGTGCGATCTGGAAACCGAGCTCTTTTTGTAACAAGTTGTTTGTCATGAGGCCCAGTCATGAGGGCCCTTCGCAACTGAGCTCAAGGAACACAAAAAGGTCAATTTGTTTTTGCAATTGCCTGTTGTTTTTCAATAACTGTTTTTCAATAACTGTTGTTTTTCAATAACTGTTTCTCCGAAGCAGCACTGGATGGATGCCTCAAGGGGCTCACACAACTCATTCCAGGACTTAGTGACCATTGTTTGTGTCCATGTTCAATTGAGTTCAAATTTAATATTTAACTTTTCCTCCACAGTGTGCCATATTATCTGCATCCAATCTGTCATCGTTGGGCATTTAGGTTGATTCCATGTCTTTACTATTGTGAATAGTGCTGCAACAAACATTTACGTGCTTGTGTCCTTATGACAGAACAATTTATATACCTCTGGGTATATACCCAGTAGTGAGATTGCTGGGTCAAGTGATAGTTCTGCTTTTATCTCTTTCGAGGAAAGCACTGTTGTGCTTTCCACAATGGTGGGACCAATGTACACTCCCACCAACAGTGTATGTGTTCTCTTTCTCCACAACCTTGCCAGCATCTGTTATTTTTTGACTTTTTCATAGTAGCCATCCTGACTGGTGTGAGATGGTGTCTCACTGTGCCTTTGATTTGCATTTCTCTAATGATCAGTGATATTGAGCTTTGTATTCTATGGTTGTTGGTCACATGTATATATTCTTTTGAAAAGCGTTCATGTCCTTTGCCCACTTTTTAAACATTTTTTTATTTCCATAGGTTTTAGGACAACAGGGGGCATTTGGTTACATTGGTAAGTTATTGATTGATTTGTAAGATTTTGGTGCATCCATCACCTCATCTGTATACACTGAACCCAATCTGTAGCCTTTTATCCCTCACCACCTTCTCCCCTTTCTCCCTGAGTCCCCAAAGTCCATTGTGTCATTCTTATGCTTTTGCATCCTTATAGCTTAGCTCCCAATTATAAGTGAGAATATATGATGTTTGGTTTTCCATTCCTGAGTTACTTCACTTAGAATAATAGTCTTCAATCCCATCCAGGTTGCTGCAACTGCCATTAATTCATTCCTTTTTGTGGCTGAGTGGTATTCCATCGTACGTATGTACCACAGTTTCTTCATCCACTCGTTGATTGATGGGCACTTGGATTGGTTCTACATTTTTGCAATTGCAAATTGTGCTGCCATAAATATGTGTGTGCAAGTATCTTTTTTCTTATAATGACTTTTTTTTCCTCTGGGTACATAGCCAGTAGTGGGATTGGTGGATCAAATGGTACTTCTACTTTTAGTTCTTTAAGGAATCGCCACACTATTGTCCATAGTGATTGTACTAGCTTGCATTCCCACCAGCAGTGCAGAAGCGTTCCCTTTTCACCACATTCACACCAACATCTACTATTTTTTTATTATGACCATTCTTGTGGGAGTAGGGTGGCATTGCATTGTGGTTGTAATTTGCATTTCCCTGATCATTAGTTATGTTGAGCATTTTTTCATATGTTTGTTGGCCATTTGTATATCTTCTGAGAATTGTCTATGACCGTAGTGCCAAAAGCAATCTACAAATTCAATGCAATTGCCATCAAAATACCATCATCATTCTTCACAGAACTAGAAAAAACAATCCTAAAATTCATATGGAACCAAAAAGGAGCCCGCATAGCCAAAGCAATATTAAACAAACAGAACAAATCAGAAGGCATCACATTACCTGATTTCAAACTATATCATAAGACCATAGTCACCAAAACAGCATGGTTCTTGTATAAAAACAGGCACATAGACAAATAGAACATAATGAAGAACCCAGAAATTAACCCAAATATTTACAGCCAACTGATCTTTGACAAAGCAAACAAAAACAAAGTGGGGAAAGAACACCCTACCCAACAAATGGTACTGGGATAATTGGCAAGCCACAAGTAGGAGAATGAAATTGGATCTTTATCTCTCACCTTATACAAAAATCAACTCAAGATGGATCAAGAACTTAAATCTAGGACCTGAAAGTATAAAAATTCTAGATGATGACATCAAAAAAACCCTTCTAGACATTGGCTTAGGCAAAGATTTCATGACCAAGAACCCAAAAGCAAATGCAAGAAAAACAAAGATAAATAGGTGGGATTTAATTAAACTAAAGAGCTTTTTCACGGCAAAAGGAACAGTCAGCAGAGTAAACAGACAATCCACAGAATGGGAGAAAATCTTCACAATCTGTATATCTGACAAAGAACTAATATCCAGAATATACAATGAGCTCAAACAAATTAGCAAGAAAAAAAACAAACAATCCCATCAAAAAGTAGGCTAAGGACATGAATAGACAATTCTTTGGACACTTTTTAATAGGGTTGTTTGTTTTTCTCTTGTAAATTTAAGTTCCTTATATTGAATATTAGATCCTTGTCAGAGACATAGTTTGTAAATACTTTTTCTCATTTTATAGGTTGTCTGTTCACTCTATTGATAATTTCTTTTGCTGAGCAGAAGCTTTTAAGTTTAATTAGATCCCACTTGTCAATAGTTGCATTTGTTGTAATTGTTTTTGGTGTCTTTATCATGAAATCTTTGCCTGTTTCTATGTCCAGGATGGTATTGCCTAGGTTGTCTTCCAGGGCTTTTATAGTTTTGGGTTTTACATTTAAGTATTTAATCCATCTTGGGTTGATTTTTGTGTGTGGTATAAGGAAGAAGACCAACTTCAATCTTCTGCATATGGCTAGCAAGTTATTCCAGCACCATTTATTGAATAGGAAATCTTTTCCCCATTGCTTGTTTTTGCCAGCTTTGTCAAAGATTAGATAATTGTAGGTCTGTGGTCTTATTTCTGGGCTCTCTATTCTGTTCCATTGGTGTATGTGTCTGTTTTTATACCAGTACCATGCTGTTTTGGTTACTGTAGTGCTGTAGTATAGTTTGAAGTCAAGTAATGTGATGCCTCAAGCTTTGCAGATTGCCTTGGCTACTTAGGTTCTTTCTTGGTTCTATGCGAATTTTTAAATAGCTTTTTCTACTTCCGTGAAGCCTGTCATTGGTAGTTTAATATAGCTTTGGGCAGTACAACCATTTAAATGATATTACTTCTTTCTCTCCATTAACATGGAATGATTTTTCATTTGTTTGTGTTTTTTCTGACTTCTTTGAGCAGTGTTTTGTAATTTTCATTATAGAGATTTTTCACCACCCTGGTTAGCTGTATTCCTATGTATTTTATTCTTTTTGTGGAAATTGTGAATAAAATTGCCTCTCTGATTTGGCTCTTAGTTTGGCTCTTCTTGGTGTGTAGGAATGTTAGCAAATTTTGTACATTGATTTTGTATCCTGAAACTGTGTGGAAGTTGTATCAGCTTAAGGAGCTTTTGGGTCACAACTATAGGGTTCAGATAGAGAATTATGTTGTCTGCAAACAGAGGTAGTTGGACTTCTCTTTCTATTTAAATACACTTTATTTCTTTCTCTTGTCTGATTGCTCCAGCAAGGACTTCTAATACTGTGTTGAATAGGAGTGGTGAGAGAGGGCATCTTTGTCTTGTGCCAGTTTTCAAGGAGAATGCTTCCAGACTTTGCCCATTTAGTATAATGCTGGCTGTGAGTTTGTCATAGGTGGCCTTTATTATTTTGAGGTATGTTCCTTCAATATCTCATTTATTGAGACTTTTTAACATGAAGCATTGCTGAATTTTACTGAAGGCTTTTCTGCGTCTATTGAGACAATTACGTGGTTCTTGTCTTTAGTTTTATTTATGTTATAAATCACATTTTATTGATTTGCCCATGATGGACCAACCTTCCATTCCAGGGAAGAATCCTACTTCACTGTGGTGAATTAGACTTTTGATGTGTTGCTGGATTCGGTTTGCAAGGATTTTGTTGTGGATTATTGAATGGATGTTCATCAAGGATACTGGCCTGAAGCTTTCTTTTTTTGTTGTGTCACTGCCAGGCTTTGGTATCAGGATGATGCTGGCCTTGTAGAACAAGTTGGGGAAGAGTCCCTCCTCCTCTATTTCTTGAAATAGTTTTAGTAGGAATGGTACTGGCTCTTCTTCGTATATCTGTTAAAATTTTACTATTAATCTATCAAGTCCTGGGCTTTTTTTTTTTTTTTTTTTTTTTTTTTTTTTTTTTTTTTTTTTTTTGCTTGGTAGGCTATTTACTACTGATTGAATTTTTGGAGCTCATTATTGGTCTGTTCAGGGACTCAGTTTCTTCCTGGTTCAGCCTTGAGATGGTGTATGTGGCCAGGAATTTATCCATCTTTTCTAGGGTTTCTAGTTTGTGTGTGTAGATGTGTTCATAGTAGTTGCTGGTTGTTATTTTTATTTCTCTGGGGTCAGTGGTAACATTCCCTTCATCATTTCTAATTTTGTTTATTTGAATCTTCTCTCTTTTCTTCTTTATTCATCTAGCTAGTACCCTATCTATCTTACTAATTTTTTCAAAAAACTTTGATTAAGTGATTTTTTGAATAGTTTTTCATGTCTCTATTTCTTTCAGTTCTGCTCTGATTTTAGTTATTTCTTGTCTTCTATAAACTTTGTGGTTGAATTCTTCTTGCTTCTCTAATTCTTTCAGTTGTGATGTTAGGTTGTTAATTTGAGATCTTTCTAACTTTTTGATGTGGGCATTACTTCTTATGCCCTACCCTAACTTTTCTCCTTCTCCTAGAAAACTCAGAACTATGCTTTCTAAACCAATTCAAACTTTCTCAGTGAATCAACCTGGTCTCCCTGAGGCAAAGTTAGCAATTTTCCATTACGCGTGGTCCTCTTTCTCTCTAAGAATATCTAACGCGACAATGCAAGTGTTTCATCCCTCCTGGGTATGCGAGGAATTCCTTTTGGCTGAGACCAAGACTTAAAACCTCAACATTAATGAAGATCTATTTAGAAAGCCTCCATTTTTTTATAGCAGCATGATTTATAATCCTTTGGATATATACCCAGTAATGGGATGGCTGGGTCAAATGCTATTTCTAGTTCTAGATCCTTGAGGAATAGCCACACTGTCTTCCACAGTGGTTGAACTAGTTTACAGTCCCACCAACAATGTAAAAGTGTTCCTATTTCTCCACATCCTCTCCAGCACCTGTTGTTTCCTGACTTTTTAATGATCACCATTCTAACTGGTGTGAGATGGTATCTCATTGTGGTTTTGATTTGCATTTCTCTGATGGTCAGTGATGATGAGCATTTTTTCATGTGTCTGTTGGCTGCATAAATGTCTTCTTTTGAGAAGTGTCTGTTCATATCCTTCACCCACTGGGGTTGTTTGTTTTTTTCTTGTAAATTTGTTTGAGTTCTTTGCAGAAATAGCTATACTTATACCAGACAAAAATAGATTTCAACAGAAGACTGTAGAAAGAGATTAAAAAGGTCATTATATAATAATAAACAGATCAATTCATCAAGAGGATATAATAATTGAAAATATATATGCACTCAACACTAAAGCACCTAGATAAATGAAGCAAATATTATAAGAGCTAAAGAAAGAGACCTCAATACAATAATGGCTGGACACTTCAATACCCCACTTTAGGCATTGGATAGACCTTGCAGACAGAAAATCAACAAAGAAACATCAGACAATCTGCACTATAGAACAAATGAACCTAATAGATATTTACAGAAAATTTCATGCAACAGCTGCAGAATAAACATTCTTCTCCTCAGCACATGGGTTATTCTCAAGGATAGACCATATGTTAAGTAACAAGTCTAAAAACATTCCAAAAAATTGAAGTAATATCAAGCATTTTCTCTGACGACAGGGAATAAAACTAGAAATCAATTTAAAAAGGAATTTCAGAAACTATACACACACGTGGACATTAAACAATATGATCCTGAATGATTAGTAGGTCGATAAAAAAGTTAAGAAGAACACAGAAAAATTTCTTGAAACAAATGATAATGGAAACATAGCATAGCAAAACCTATGGAATATAGTAAAAGAGGTACTATTATAAAAGGAAAATTTATAACTGTAAGTGCCTACATAAAAAACAGAAAAGCTTCAAATAAATAACCTAACAATACATCTTAATTAACTAGAATGAAAAGGCCAAACCAAACCCAAAATTAGAAGGAAAGAAATAATAAAGATTACAGTGGAAGTAAATAAAGATAAAATGAAGAAAACAATGCAAAAGATTAATGAAACAAAAAGTTGATTTTTTGAAAAGTAAAACAGTTGACAAATATTTAGACAGGCTAACTAAAAAACAGAGAAGATAGAAATTAGTAAAATCAGAGGTGAAAAAGGAGACATTACAAGTAACGCTTCAGAAAATCAAAAGGTCATTAGTGGCTACTATCAGCAATTGTATGCCAACAAATTAGAAAACCTAGAGGAAATTAATTCTTAGATACACACAGCTTACCCAGATTGAACTAGGAAAAAATCTAAAACCTGAACAGACCAATAACAATTAACAAAATTAAAGCCTTAATAAAAAAGTCAGTAGGACCAGACTGAAAAATAGAGAAGGAAAGAACATTTCCAAACTCATTCTTTGAGGCTAGTATTACCCTGATATCAAAACCAGACAAAGACACATTAAAAAGGCAAACTACAGGCCCATATCTGAGAATATTGGTGCAAAAATTTGCAAAACACCTAGCAAACTCAATTAAACAATACATAAATAGGTAAGTCATAATGACCAAGTGGGATTTATCCCAGGGATGCAAAGATGGTTCAACATTCAAATTAATCAATGTGATACATCACATAAACAGAATGAAGGGGTCAGGCACAGTGGCTCATGCCTGTAATCCCAGCACTTTGGGAAGCTGAGGCTGGCAGATCACCTGGGTTTAGGAGTTTGAAACCAGTCTGGCCAACATGGCAAAACCCCGTCTCTACTAAAAATACAAAAATTAAGCAGGCACGGTGGTGGGTGCCTGTAATCCCAGCTACTCGGGAGGCTAAAGAAGGAAAATCACTTGAACCCAGGAGGCAGAGGTTGCAGTGAGCTGAGATCACACCAATGCACTCCAGCCTGGGTGACAGAGGGAGACTTCATCTCAAAAATAAATAAATAAATAAAAGGACAAAATCCATATAATCATTTCAATTATGCTAAAAAATTATTTGATAAAACTTAATATTCTTTAATTATAAAAAACTCTTTGAAAACTCGGTATGGAATGAACATACCTCAACATAATAAAAGTCATATATGACAGACCCACAGCTAGTATCATACTAAGTGGGGAAAAACTAAAAGCCTTTCCTCTAAAATCTGGAAGATGACAAGAATGTCCACTTTTACCACTGTTATTCAACATAATTCTGAAAGTCCTATCTGGAGCAATCAGACAACAGAAAGCAATAAAAGGCACCCCAGTTGGAAAAGAAGTCAAATTATCTTTTTTTGCCAATGACATAGTCTTATATTTGAAAAAACATAAAGACTCCTCTGATAGGGTTTGAACGTGTGTCCCCTCCCAAATCTCATATTTAAATGTAATTCTCCATGTTGGAGGTGGGCCAGGTGATTTAACCATTGGGGTGGATTACTCAGAAATGGCTCAGCACCGTCCCACTTGGTACTATCCTCATAATAGTGAGTGAGTTCCTACAAGATCTGGTTATTTAAAAGTGTGTAACAACTCGCCCCTCTGTTTTTTGCTCCAGCTTTTTGCCCTTTGATGTGCAAGATTCTGCTTCAACTTCTGCCATGACTGTAAACTTCTACAGGCCACCCCAGAAGCATATGCCAGTGCTATGTCTTCTCTACAGCCTGTAGAACCATGAGCCACTTAAACCTCCTTTTTTAAAAATAAATTATCCAGTCCCACTCTTATAGTGATGCAAAAATAGCTTAATACAGAAAATTGGCACCAAGGAGTGAGAAATTGTTATAAGAATACCTGAAAATGTGAAATTAGCTTTGTAGTTGGATAAACAGGCAGAGGTTGGAAGAGTTTGTAGGATTCAGAGGAAGACAGAAAAATAAGGGAAAGTTGAGATTTTCTTAGAGACTGGTTGAATGGCTGTGACCAAAATGCTGTTAGTGATCTGGACAGTGAAGGCCAAGCTGAGGAGGTCTCAGATAAAATTAGAAACTTATTAGGACCGAAACAAAAGTCATGCATGTTGTCTTAGCAAAGTGGCTGGCTGAATTTCTGTCATGCCCTAGGGATATATAAAACTTTGATTTTGAAATTGATGATTTAAGTTTTCTGTTGGAAAAATGTCTAAGCAGCAAAGCATTTGAGATGTTGCCTGGCTGCTTCTAACAACCTATGCTCACATGATCTAGCAAAAAAAATATATAAGTTGTAACTTATACTTACAAGGGAAGCATAGTGTAAAAGCTTAAAAACTTTGCAGCCTAGTCCTGTGCCTAAAAAATAAAAAGATTTTATAAGAGAGGAACTCAAGCACGCTATGGAGCAACGACTTGTTAGAGGTATTTGTATAACCTAAAAAAAAAGCAAGTGTTGATAGCCAAGACAATGGGAAAGAGGAATTGAAGGCATTTTAGAAATCTGAAAGGCAGCCCCCAATCACAGGCCTTGAGGCCTAAAAGAAGAGAATAGTTTCTGGGATCAGGCCCAGGATCTGCTGCCTTGGGTAGCTTTGGAACATGGCTCCCTGCATCCTGACCATTGCTTCAGCTCCAGGTGTAGGTCAAATTGATCCAGTTACAACTCCAGTCACTGCTTCAGAGGGTGCAAGCCATAAGCCTTGGTAGCTTCCATGTGGTGTTAGGCCTGTGGGTTTACAAAATGCAAGAGTTGAGACTTGGGATCTTCCACCTTTGTTTCAAAGGATGTGTGAACAAGCCAGGGTGTGCAGACAGAAGCATGCTGCAGGGGTGGAGCATTCATGGAGAACCTCTACTAAAACAATGGAGAAAAGAAATGTGGGGTGACAGTCCCCATGCAGGCTCCCCACTGGGGCATGGCCTAGTAGATCTGTGAGGAGAAGGTCACTGTCCTCCAGACCGCATAATGGTAGATCTAGCTACAGCTTGCACCTTGCACCTGGAAAAGCCAGAGACACACAATACCAGCCAGAGGTACACAATGCCAGCCCATGAGAGCAGCTATGGGGGCGGAACCATGCAAAGTCACAAGGTTGAACCTTCCCAAGGCATTAGTGTGCCCTGGAAATGGGACACAGAGTCAAAAATAATTATTTTAGAGCCTTATAATTCAGTAACTGCCCTTCTGGGTTTCAGACTTTCGTGGGTCCTGTGGCCCCTTTCTTTTGGCTGATTTCTTCCTTTTAGAATAGGAGTATTTACCCAATGCCTCTGCCCCATTTGTATCTTGGAAGTACCTAACTTGTTTTTTTATTTTACAGGCTTATAGGAGGAATAAACTAGCTTTGTCTTAGATGAGACTTTTGACTTTTGAGTTAAGGCTGAAATGAGTTAAGACTTTGGGAATTATTGGGAAGTCATGATTGTATTTTGAAATATGAGAAGGATATGAGATTTGGAATGGCCAGGGCAAAATGATATAGTTTGGGTGTGTGTTCCCACCAAAATCTTATACTGAAATGTAATCCTCAATGTTGGAAGTGGGCCTAGTGGGGAGGTGATTGAATCAAGAGGGCAGGATTTCCATGAAGAGTTTAGCATCATTTCCTTTGGTGCCATTCCCACAATAGTAAGTTTTCACGAGAGCTGGTTATCTACAAGTGTGTAGCACTTACACTCTGCCCTCGCACTTACCATGTGATGTGCAAGCATCGGATTTATTTTTCACCTTGTCAGTTGCCAGAGGCTTCCCCAGAAGCAGAAGCCAGTGCTATGCTTTCTGTACAGCCTGTAGAACCATGAACCAATTAAATCTATTTCCTTTACAAATTAACCGGTCACTGATTTTTTTTTATAGCAATGTGAGAATGGCCTAATACATCCACCAAAAAAACTATTAGAAGTAATAACTTGAGTAAATTTGCAGAATACAAAATCAACATATACAAATCAGTAGGAATGCTATATGCCAACAGTCAACAAAGTGAAAAAGAATTCAAAAATGTAACACTATTTGCAATAGCCACAAATAAAACACAATGTGTGGGAACTTACCAAAGAAATAAAAGTTCTCAACAATTAAAACTGTAAAACACTGATAAAAGAAATGAAAAAGGACCCAAAAATTGGAAAGATATTTTTATGTTCACAGATTGGAAGAATCAGTATTTTTCTAAAATGTCCATACAATCCAAAGAAATCTATACATTTCATGCCATCTCTATCAAAATAACAGGCCAGGGGCAGTGGCTCATGCCTGTAATCCCAGCACTTTGGGAGGCCGAGGTGGGTGGACCATGAGGTCAGGAGTTCAAGACCAGCCTGGCCAAATTTGTGAAACCCCATCTCTACTAAAAATACAAAAAAATTAGCTGGGCATGGTGGCGGGTGCCTTCCCAGCTACTCAGGAGGCTGAGGTAGGTAATTGCTTGAGCCCAGGAGGCAGAGGTTGCAGTAAGCCGAGATTGCATCACTGCACTCCAGTCTAGGTGACAGAGCGAGATGCCATCTAAAAAAAAAAAAAAAAAAAAAGACATTCCTCACAGAAACAGAAAAAAAATTCTGAAATTTATATGGAACTGTCACAAAACACCATAATAGTCAAAGCTGTGCTGAGTATATAAAACAAAACTGGAGGAATTCCATTACCTGGTTTTAAATTATACTACTAAGTTATAGTAATTAAAACAGCATGACACTAGCATAAAAACAGACATAAAGCCAAATGGAACAAAATAGAGACCTTAGAAACAAACTCATACAGCTAAGCTAAACTTATTTTCAACAAAAGTGCCAAGAATATACAACAAAAAATAAGACAGTTTTTGTAATAAATAGGGCTGGGAAAAGTGGCAGGTCATAGGCAGAAGAATAAAACTAGAACCCTATTTCTTGCCACATAAAAAATCAAATTAAAATGAATTAAAGACTTAAACCTAACATCTCAAACTATCACATTTTTACAATAAAACATTGGGGAAACCCTTTAGGGCATTGGTTTGGGCAAAAATTTCTTAAATAGTGCCCCATAAGCACAGACAACCAAAACAAACACGGGCAAATGGGATTACAGCAAATCAGAAAGCCTTTTTAAAGTGAAGGAAACAATAAACAAAGTGAAGAGAAAATCCACAGAATGGGAGAAAATATTTGTAAGTTATCCATCTGAAAGGCAATTAATAGCTACATGATATGGTTAGGCTTTGTGTCCCCACCCAAATCTCATATTGAATTGTAATTCCCAGGTTTTGGGGGAGAGACCCGGCAGAAGGTGATTGGATCATGGGGGTGGTTTCCCCCAGGCTGTTCTTCTGATAGTGAGTGAGTTCTCATGAGATCTGATGGTTTTATAAGGGACTCTTCCCCCTTTGCTTCACATACATGCTGTCTCGCCTGCTGTCATGTAAGAGGTGACTGCTTCCCCATCTGCCATGATTGTAAGTTTCCTGAAGCCTGCCAAGCCATGTGGAACTGTGAGTCAATTAAACCCATTTCCTTTATAAATTACTCAGTCTTGCCAGGTGCAGTGGTTCATGCCTGTAATCTCACCACTTTGGGAGGCCAAGTGGGGGGTGGATCACGAGGTCAGGAGTTCAAGACCAGCCTGGCCAAGATGGTGAAACCCTGTCTCTACTAAAAATACAAAAATTAGCCAGGCATGGTGGCAGGTGCCTGTAATCCCAGCTACTCAGGAGGCTGAGACAGAGAATTGCTTGAACCAGGAGGTGGAGTTTGCAGTGAGCCGAGATTGCACCACTGCACTTCAGCCTGGGTAACAGATCAAGACTTCATCTCGTTAAATAAATAGATAACCCAGTCTTGAGTATTTTTTTTTTTTTTTTTTTTTTTTTTGAGACGGAGTCTCGCTCTGTCGCCCAGGCTGGAGTGCAGTGGCGGGATCTCGGCTCACTGCAAGCTCCGCCTCCCGGGTTCACGCCATTCTCCTGCCTCAGCCTCCCAAGTAGCTGGGACTACAGGCGCCCGCCACTACGCCCGGCTAATTTTTGTATTTTTAGTAGAGACGGGGTTTCACCGTTTTTAGCCGGGATGGTCTCGATCTCCTGACCTCGTGATCCGCCCGCCTCGGCCTCCCAAAGTGCTGGGATTACAGGCGTGAGCCACCGCGCCCGGCCGAGTATTTTTTTATAGCAGTGCTGAAACAGACTAATACACTACAATATATTGAGTTCAAAAAATTCTATAAAAATATAATAATCCAATTAAAGAATGGACAAAAAATTTAAATAGACATTTATGAAAAGAAGACATACAAATGTCAAGCAGGCAAATGAAAAGGTGCTACACATTACTGATCATCATAGAAATGCAAATCAAACCCAAAATGAGATATCATTTCACCCCAGTTAAGGTGGCTTTTATCCAGAAGTCAGTCAAAAACCAATGCTGGTGAGTATGTGGAGTGAAGGGAACCCTTGTACACTGTTGTTGGGAGCACAATTAAGGACAGTTTGGATGTTCCTGATATAACTAAAAATAGAGCTACTATAAGGTCTAGCAATCCCACTGCTCAGTATATGCCTAAAAGAAATAAAATTGGTAGATCAAAGACATATTGGCACTCTCATATTTGCTACAGCAGGGTTTATAATAGCCAAGATTTGGAAGGAACTTAAATGTCCCTCAACAGCTGACTGGATAGAGAAAATATGGTACATATACACGGTGGAGTACTATTCAGCTATAAGAAAGAATGAGAGTCTGCCATTTGCAATAACATAAATGGAACTGAAAGTCTTTATGTTAAGTGAAATAAGTCAGGCACAGAAAGACAAATGTCACATGTTCTCACTTATTTGTGTGTGCTAAAATTCGAAACAATTGGTGTCATAGAGATAGAGAGTATAAGGATGGTTACCAGAGGCTGGGAAGGGCAGTGAGGGAACAGGGTGTTAGTGGGGATGTGAAATGGGTACAAAAAATTGTTAGAAAGAATGAATAAGACAGCATTTGATAGCACAACAGGGTGACTATAGTCAAAAATAATTTAACTATACATTTTAAAAAACTAAAAGTATAATTGGATTGTTTATAACACAAGCTATACATGCTTGAGGGGATGGACACCCCATTTTTTTATTATGCATTACTCATTGCATGCCTGTATCAAAGTATGTCATGTATCCCCATAAATATATACACCAACTATGTACCCACAAAAATAAATTAAAAATTGAAATCAAAATTAAAACCAAAGGGAGGAGAGTATAATGAGGCCTGTGTGACCCATGGCTTGAACTAGCTTTTCATGTTAACTTTGGAATGTCCTTATCCAAGAAGAGGTGTCCATTTAGTCAATAGGGGCTTAGAAATTTATTTTTAGTTTATTTATTTTTAGTTTAGTTTATAGCAATAACCTCTCCATCATTATGACTAGAAGTTGAAATGTGGTATTTAACAACCCTACATGATAAGATCAGATATGCCTGTTTAGTGACAGCCTACTTTATGACAAAATTTATTTTTCATTTATAAGTGGAAAAAAGGATTTTTAATCCTGAGCCATAGCTCTCAGTCAATCAATCCCTGCAGGGAACCCTGTTATTTTCCACTGAATAACACCACATTTCAAAGTGAGGGGAAACATCTTGAAACTAAGAGGTACAGCCTTATTAAATTTGATTTGGTTTCAATTGTAATTAATTTAATCACATGCATTCTAGAGTTTGTCCTTAGTCTTCTCCTACTTTAGGCCCATGATCTGTTGAATTTGCTCAGCTCCCTGCTCAACAGCAGGAAATCAGTTAGAATTATTTAAAAATCTCATTGTGGCTGGGAGTGGTGGCTCATGCCTGTAATCCCAGCAATTTGGGAGGCCCAGGTGGGCAGATCGCCTGTTGTCAGGGGTTTGAGACAAGCCCAGCCAACAGAGTGAAATCCCATCTCTACTAAAGATACAAAAATTAGCTGGGTGTGTTGATGCATGCCTGTAATCGCAGCTACTTGGGAAGCTGAGGCAGGAGAATTGCTTGAACCCGGGAGGTGGAGGTTTCAGTGAGCCAGGATGGTACACTACAATCCACCCTGGGCAACAGAGAAGACTCTGTCTCAAAATAATAATAATAATAAATAAGTAAAAATAAAAATGTCATTGTGTTTCAAATTTCTCTTGAATATCAACTGTATCAACTTGCATATTACCTATAATCATTTTGCTTACTTTATATCCAATCTTGAGAAATCTTTGAGGACTAATTTCACTCTTTTCTGCCATTTTGGTAAACATACCAAATTCCATCAAACAAAATGCACAGAATTCCTGAGAAATACATTTTCTCCTTGAGCAGTAGACTTATTGTGTTAGAGGAACTCATGAATAACAAGCTTCTAGTTTAGTAAACATGACTAGAATACTCTATCTTAATATGAGTAGCTAGGTACTCACAAGGCATCTAGAAGATTAATGCTCATGGTCTGAAAATAGCCACATTTTTTAGCTGGCCACAAATTATAACTGGAGAATATTTGTGGTCATACAAGACATATTCCACCAAGCCTGAAAAACGTATACATGTCCTAGGAGTGCAGCATTTTTTTTGTAAGGATAATATTAATGAGCTTGCTTAGGTCAATGGGTTAATGGTCATTGTTAAAACCAATAGCCCCGACTTTAGTGAGTACATTTGCACCTTCCAAGTTTAATTATAACTCTTTGTCTTTATAGTTACTTATAAGAAGAGACACTAACAAAAGACAATGCATTCCTGCTCTTGTTTGCTGAGGGTGTCCAACTCTAATGGAGTCATTTCTAGTAAACTTGCTTCTTTCACTGTGCTCTCTGACTCACCTCAATTTTTTTCCTGCACAAGATCTAAGAATCCTACTTTGTGGTCTGTATCAGGACCCTCTTTTCCAGCAACATCTTTCAGCAACACCATGAAGGGACACCAAGACAAGACCCCCACTCCAAGGAAAACAATCCACACAGAATCAGTCAGCTGACACCTGGCAAGTGGGCCGTCTTTTAGAGTCGTGAAGCCATTCTGGTGGGCAAGAATGATGATCCACTACTACTTAAGCAAGAGGCCCTAGGGCATAATGTTAGGGTGAGACACTCAGCCCCAAAAATTAGAGGCCCGGGGGCATCATACTCAGATTAGAGGCCAAGCTCACAGGGTTAGAGGCCCTTGGGAATATTGAGAAGAATGGATTTGGCTAAACAAGATGTTTGCCACTTTCTCTTTTTGGACTGTCCACCTTGTGCTCTCTGTCCCTCACCTGAGTGCTCTGTATCTTGTCACCTTTCTGCTCACCTCCTCTGTTTTGTAGTAGCCTGGAGGCTGCCCCAGGAAAGAGGCCCCAAACAGTTTAGCTTTTGCTTTCCTCAGCGATCCTCTGACTTTTAGCTGATTGCTTGTTTAATTTGCCACTGGTCCAAGTGACACTGAAAAAAGAGAGATGTCTTGGAACCTAGTATTTTTGTACCTTAATTATCAGAAAAAAAATCAGCAATAACCTCTCCATCATTATGACTAGAAGTTGAAATGTGGTATTTAACAGCCCTACATGATAAGATCAGATATACCTGTTTAGTGACAGCCTCTTTTATGACAACCCTCTGCAAACAATTAGCCTCAAGATGGAGAACATGGGACTTTTTCTTAACAGTTTTCTCTCATTTCTTAACCATAACGCCATCTTTGATGAGCTGGTATAGGGCAGCTGGACCCTACTTTCTAAACCCAGTATCCCACTTTTTTCCTGACAGAGTTTTATCAGTTTTGTCATAGCAGTGTGAAAATGGACTAGTACATTACAATATACAAGTTACAGCCTTCCCATTTCCCCTGTTCAGTCTGACTCCTTTTTTTGCAGCTTAATTTGTTTTATAGAAGAGAAACTAAATGGGAGGAAATACTTTACATATAGGCTTCTCTGATGCTTGGTCAGGATAAAAAATTAAAATGGGCTTCTATATGTTTGATGGAGGAAAAGACAAAATAGGGATGGCACGTAATTGATTACCCTTTTAATGCAAGTGCCTCTTAATATTAGGCTTTTCTTAGCTGGGGCTGAACTCCCCCTGCCAGTCCGACAACCCCATGAGAACACAGTCAGACTCCTTCCAGTTCTGGTGAGGTGTGCAACATGTTATTAATTTCTTCTAGTTTTCCAGGGTTATCTAGTGTCTGGTCATCGTCTTCTCCCTGCCCTTCGAGTCCTGTCTTAAGTACACACCCCACTGTCGGAACACGTGAGCTTCACCAGAACAACATGCAGTGGGGCCTCTTATCAGCTGGCAAACTTGAATGTTTGCCCTCTCTGGGAAGTGACAGATGATAAAAAGGACACTATATAGGTATATGTACCCTTTTCTATGTCTGAACTAGCCATATACAAGGAAAAGCTAAAACAGTTTTCAGAGGTGCCTGAAAATTTGTAGACAAATTTAAGAGGCTAACCTTGTTTACGATCTGGCCAGGCAGGACTTGCATATGTTTATGTTTTCCTGCTGCATGGCAGAAAGGCAGTGTGTTATTCTCTTTGAAGCAGTTGTGAATGGGAGTTCACTCATGATTTGGCTCTCTGTTTGTCTGTTATTGGTGTATAAGAATGCTTGTGATATTTGCACATTGATTTTGTATCCTGAGACTTTGCTGAAGTTGCTTATCAGCTTAAGGAGATTTTGGGCTGAGATGATGGGGTTTCTAGATATACAATCATGTCATCTGCAAACAGGGAAAATTAGACTTCCTCTTTTCCTGATTGAATATCCTTTATTTCCTTCTCCTTCCTGAATGCCTTGGTCAGAACTTCCAACACTATGTTGAATAGGAGTGGTGAGAGAGGGCATCCCTGTCTTGTGCCGGTTTTCAAAGGGAATGCTTCCAGTTTTTGCCCATTCAGTATGATATTGACTGTGGGTTTGTCATAGATAGCTCTTATTATTTTGAGATACGTCCCATCAATACCTAATTTTTTGAGAGTTTTTAGCATGAAGGTTTGTTGAATTTTGTCAAAGGCCTTTTCTGCATCTATTGAGATAATCATGTGGTTTTTGTCGTTGGTTCTGTTTATATGCTGGATTACATTTATTGATTTGCATATGTTGAGCCAGCCTTGCATCCCAGGGATGAAGCCCACTTGATCATGGTGGATAAGCTTTTTGATGTGGTGCTGGATTCGGTTTGCCAGTACTTTATTGAGGATTTCTGCATTGATGTTCATCAGAGATATTGGTCTAAAATTCTCTTTTTTTGTTGTGTCTCTGCCAGGCTTTGGTATCACGATGATGCTGGCCTCATAAAATGAGTTAGGGAGGGTTCCCTCTTTTTCTATTGATTGGAATAGTTTCAGAAGGAATGGTACCAGCTCCTCCTTGTACCTCTGGTAGAATTAGGCTGTGAATCCATCTGGTCCTGGACTTTCTTTGGTTGATAAAATACCTAGGAATCCAACTTAAAAGGGATGTGAAGGACCTCTTCAAGGAGAACTACAAACCACTGCTCAATGAAATAAAAGAGGATACAAACAAATGGAAGAACATTCCATGCTCATGGGTAGGAAGAACCAATATTGTGAAAATGGCCATACTGCCCAAGGTAATTTATAGATTCAATGCTATCTCTATCAAGCTACCGATGACTTTCTTCACAAAATTGGAAAAAGCTACTTTAAAGTTCATATGGAACCAAAAAAGAACCTGCATCGCCAAGTCAATCCTAAGCCAAAAGAACAAAGCTGGAGGCATCATGCTACCTGACTTCAAACTATACTATAAGGCTACAGTAACCAAAACGGCATGGTGCTGATACCAAAACAGAGATGTAGACCAATGGAACAGAACAGAGCCCTCAGAAATAACGCCACATATCTACAACTATCTGATCTTTGACAAACCTGACAAAAAACAAGAAATGGGGAAAAGATTCCCTATTTAATAAATGGTGCTGGGAAAACTGGCCAGACATATGTAGAAAGCTGAAACTGGATCCCTTCCCTACACCTTACACAAAAATTAATTCAAGATGGATTAAAGACTTAAATGTTAGACCTAAAACCATAAAAACCCTAGAAGAAAACCTAGGCAATACCATTCAGGACATAGGCATGGGCAAGGACTTCATGTCTAAAACACCAAAAGCAATGGCAAGCAAAGCCAAAATTGACAAATGGGATCTAATTAAACTAAAGAGCTTCTGCACAGCAAAAGAAACTACTGTCAGAGTGAACAGGCAACCTACAGTGTGGGAGAAAATTTTTGCAACCTACTCATCTGACAAAGGGCTAATATCCAGAATCTATAATGAACTCAAACAAATTTACCAGAAAACAACAAATAACCCCATCAAAAAGTGGGCAAAGGATATGAACAGACACTTCTCAAAAGAAGACATTTATGCAGCCAACAGACACATGAAAAAATGCTCACCATCACTGGCCATCAGAGAAATGCAAATCAAAACCACAATGAGATACCATCTTACACCAGTTAGAATGGCAATCATTAAAAAGTCAGGAAACAACAGGTGCTGGAGAGGATGTGGAGAAATAGGAACGCTTTTACACTGTTGGTGGGAGTGTAATTTAGTTCAACCATTGTGGAAGACAGTGTGGTGATTCCTCAGGGATCTAGAACTAGAAATACCATTTGACCCAGGCATCCTATTACTGGGTATATGCCCAAAGGATTATAAAACATGCTGCTATAAAGACACATGCACACGTATGTTTATTGTGGCACTATTCACAATAGCAAAGACTTCAAACCAACCCAAGTGTCCATCAATGATAGACTGGTTTAAGAAAATATGGTACATATATACCATGGAATACTATGCAGCCATAAAAAAGGATGAGTTGATGTTCTTTGTAGGGACATGGATGAAGCTGGAAACCATCATTCTCAGCAAACAATTACAAGGACAAAAAACCAAACACAGCATGTTCTCACTCATAGGTGGGAATTGAACAGTGAGAACACACGGACACAGGAAGGGGAACATCACACACCGGGGCCTGTTGTGGGGTGGGGGGAGGGGGGAGGGATAGCATTAGGAGATATACCTAATGTTAAATGACGAGTTAATGGGTGCAGCACACCAACATGGCACATGTATACATATGTAACTAACCTGCACGTGGTGCACATGTACCCTAAAACTTAAAGTATAATTAAAAAAAAAAGAAAAAAGAAAAGCAGTGTGTTATGGGAGTGGTAGAGCACATGCTAATAGGGTGGCAGCCTGCAACCAGGGACATGACACCTATCAAGTGGGAGGCACAGAAGTGCCTGATTAGGACTCAAAAGAGAACTAGAATCTAGAAAAGATGAATGAATTAGGAAGAAAGTGGGATATAGAGAGAAAAAATTATGATCATTTGACTCCTTGAAGGAATAAAAAAAATTGTGATAAAGCTTTTTAATTTTTATAAAGTCTGGAAAATTACTCGGAAAAGATGAAAACCTAGCCTTATTACAAGGGTGGATAATTTAGACCTTGAGAAAATACACTAACACTGACCCTTACTCCAAGAAGGGATAGGCATTGCTAGGAGTTTACTTTATAGCCCAGCCTGCTTCTGATATCTGCAGGAAGCCGCCAAAAGCAGCCTTAGGCTTCCAGACTCCCATGGATCAGATTTTAGATTTGGATTTTGCAGTTTTCCATCACAGGAATAGGGCAGAGAAAACATAAAATAAACCAAATGTCCCAAAAGGCCCAGCTTCTAGCTGCAGCCTTGTGCTCTCCACCACTTCAGAGGCAGCCCGTTAACCCTGGCCCTCACAGAGGAAGTGAGAAGGTGAAAGTCCCAGTCTGTGCCTCTGGGCCACTGTGTCGTGGATATAAATCAATGTGCCTTCTGTAAGAAGGTCAGCCACTGCTGAAGGAAATGCACTGTGCTTTCAAGGGAGCCAACCTCAGAGCCCAGCAGACTTGAAAGTGGGAGGGCCTGTTACTTCCTGCCTCCACTCCCATTGGACTATTAGGTATCCAGAGATGGAGAAGCCTCAGGTGACTCTTGTAGTGGCAGGTAGGAGTATTAACTTCTTATTAGGTGTGGGAGCAGATGACTCTGTCCTGATTCAATACAGTGGGCTCCTGTCTCTTCATGATGGACAAGCCCAAAATAACTGCTTTTTGTATCTTCTAAGTTGTCCTCCAGGGCCTCTGGGCTTCTCACCTACCTTTTTAGTACGGTCTGAATGCCTGATCTCTTACTGGGGAGAAGTTTATTGACTCAGGAGACCAAGTCATGGTCACCTTCACAGATCATAAATCATAGAAAGTGTTACTTTTGTTCCTGACCCCTCAGGGGAAAAAAAAGAAGTTAAGAATGAGCTGTCACATTTACCACCTGAGGTATTGTCTCAAGTAAATCTTGAAGTTTGGGCCACACAGGCTCTGGGAAATGCACTAAACACCTCCCCGATTCAAATCCAACTTCAGCCTAGTGCTCCTCGCCCTCAGAAGAGACAATACATTTTAAGGCAAGAAGCATGAGGGGAAATTCAACCCCTTATTGCCAAATTCTTGCCATATGAGTTATGAAGCCCATGAGAGTCTCCTTACAATACTCGCATGTTACCAGATAAAAAGCCTAATGGCAAGTACAGATTTGTCAGAACCCTTAGAGCGCTAAGAAATGCAGTTGTCTCCATACACCTCATTGTCCCCAATACTTACCAAGTCCCAGGGGATGCAAGCTGGTTTACATTCTTAAATCTGAAAGACGCATTTTTCTGCATCTCAATGCATCCAGATTCACAATATGTTTGCCTTTGAATGGACTAATCCAGATACACATTCAGCCTCAAAACTAACCTGGACAGTCGTCTCTGAAGGGTTCTGGGATAGCCCCCACTTATTTGAAAATGCTCTAGCTAAGGACTTAAGAAATCTACAACTGGAAAGGGACACAATTATTCAGTATGTAGGTGACTTGCTCATTGCTAGCCCAACTAAAGAAGACTCAAATAATAATACTGTTAAGTTGGTAAGTTTCCTGGGAAGTTGCAGATATACGGTATCCCCATACAGGGCTCAGATTTTGACTCAAAGACTTAAATATTTGGAATCTGTCTTAACCACTGGAACTGATCAACAACCCTAGAAGATAAAAAAGTTATTTTAGTCACCGAAGGGTCCCAGTCCAACAAATGACTGTGGGCTCTTTTAGGAGATGGCTGGGTACTGCTGCTTATGGTTGCCCAGATTTGGACATGTAGCCAAGCCTTTATATGATACACTAAAGGGAAAGATTTAGAGCTCCTAGAACGTAATGAGAACTGCAAGCAAACCTTCAATACTCTCAAGGAGAAATTGAGCTCTGCTGCAGCCATGGGAGTCCCCAAGTTGGATGAACCATTTTTTCTTTATGTGACCAAAAAGCAAGGCATAGGCCTTGGGTAATCTTGTCTCAAAACTGGGGGACATTCCAAGGCCAGTAGCCTAATTTTCTAAGCAGATAGACCAGGCGGCCTCAGGGTGGCCTTGATGTCTTAGAGCTATTGCTGCTACCACTTTTCTAGCAGGCAAAGCTAATAAACTAACATTAGAACAGCACCTACAGGTTTTTGACCCCACACCAAGGGAAGGTGGTCCTGGAAGCTAAAGGGCAGCAGTGGATAATAGGAGAACATTTATGAAAGTGTCAGGCCTTATTGCTAGACCCTCCAGACACAACCCTTAAAGCCTGCCAAACCACAAACCCAGCTACTTAGCTGTCAGAGTCCACAGGTGCTCCCAGCCTTTCTGGCATACAGGCTGTATTAGTCTGTTCTCACGCTGCTAATAAAGACATATCTGAGGCTGGGAAATTTATAAAGAAAAGAGGTTTAATTGACTCACAGTTCCACATGGTCGGAGAGGCCTCACACTCATGGCAGAAGGCAGGTGAGGAACAAAGTCACATCTCTTACGTGGCAGCAGGCAAAAGAGCTTGTGTAGGGAAACTCCCCTTTATAAAACCATCAGCTGTAATCCAGCACTTTGGGAGGCCAAGGCAGTGGATGACCTGAGGTGAGGAGATGGAGGCCAGCCTGGCCAACATGGTGAAACCCTGTCTATACTAAAAGTGCAAAAATTAAACAGGCATGGTTGTGGGCACCTGTAATCCCAGCTACTCGGGAAGCTGAGACAGGAGAATCGCTTGAACCCAGGAGTCAGAGTTTGCAGTGAGCCAAGATCACGATAATGCACTCCAGCCTGAGCAACAGAGCAAGACTATGTATCAAAAATAAATAAATAAATAAACTATCAGATCTCATGAGGCTTATTCACTGTCACGAGAACAGCATGGGAAAGACCCATCCCCTGATTCAATTACCTCCCACTGGGTCCCTCCCACGATATATGGGAATTATGGGAGCTACAATTCAAGATAAGACTTGACTGGGGGCACAGCCAAAGCATGTCACAGGTTATGAAACAAATTGATCTAGCAGGCCAGACGTAGGAGAGATGAGCTCCTTGACCATCCCAAGGCAGAGTGGTTAACAGATGCAAGTTGTTTTATGCATCAGGAAAACAGGAGGTCTAGATATGCTATTAGTAGTCAGCACAAGAGAATCAAGGCACAAGCCTTGCTGGCCTCGACCTCAGCTCAAAAAGCTGAGTTAATTGAACTTACTAGGCCCCTGCAGTTGGAAAGGATTTAAAAGTTAACATTTACACTGATTCCAAGTATGATTTTTTAGTGCTTCATGCTTATGCTGCAATTTGGAATGGGTGGGGACTCCTGACCCCAAGGGCTTTTCCATACAACATCATTCAGATTTTGAGCTTGTTAGAATACTGCTTTGCTGCCAGAAAGTGACTATAATTAATTGCAGAGGACATCAAAAGAGAGACTGACCATGTAAAAGGAAATGACCTTGTAGCTGCAGCCAAGGCCCCTGCACTGAAAGGGCCAATGAAGCTTATGGGCGTGCTGGTCAGCATACATAGAACTGGGCCGGAACACTCTGAAGAAGAACAGAAATGGGCCAGGGATTGCATTTCAGTCCAGGGCCCCTCGGGCTGGCTGAATGATGGTAATAAATTACTAATGCCAAGTACCAATCACAAGAGTATAACTCAGCACTTTCATGATTCTTTTCACCCTAGAAGGGATTCTTTGTTTCTGTTAATGTCTCACTTGTTTATAGGGGTAAATCTTTTCAAGACACTAAAACAGGTGACTCAGCACTGTGAGCTCTGTGCCTGACATGACCCAAACGGCCAGCAATTTTCTCCTCCAGTTAAACCTGTCCAAAATTAAGGAACCTATCCAGGTGAGAACTGGCAACTCTAATGTACCCCAATGACTTTCTGCAAGAGATTCAAATATTTGCTAATGCTTACTGATACCTTCACTGGTTAGATCGAGGCATTCCCCACCCCATCTGAAAAATGTTTACCAGAAGAAATAACTCCTCAGTTTGGGTAATCTAAAAGCCTGCAAAGTGACAATGGCCCATCTTTCACAGCAGGCGTAACCCAACACCTATCCTCAGCTTTAAGAATCCAATATTACCTTCACTCTGTGTGGAGACCGCAGTCCTCTGGAAAGGTGAAAGGGCTAATCCTAAAGAAGACTCTAGCTAAATCAGAGGCCTGACTATCTCTAACACCCATAGCTTACTGCAGATTTGAACTGCTCCAAAGTAAAACGTATAATTAAGTCCTGTTAACATGTGGAAGGCCTTTCCTAACGACAGATCTCCTAATAGATGAAAAGATTCATCAATTACAAAAATATGTCATCAATCTAGGACAGGTGCAAAGGCACTCCGTGCATATGGAAACAAGCGTCTTCCCCTCCCACATGGGAGGAAAATTCAGTTTCAGCTCAGCTAGGGATTTAGTCTTACTAAAGACGTGGGAGGAAGTTCTCCAGCTGAGCAGCTTTCCCCAACGTGGAAGGGACCACGCAAGGACACCTGAGTTCTCCAACAGACGTTCAACGCCAGGGGAGTCACAGGTGGGTGCACCTGTGTGGAAGTAAAGCTGTTGCTTATTCTGGGAGCCCAATCCTAGGCTGAGGGAGGTGGGCGCGGGGCTGTTTAAGCGTTGGCGGAGGCCGGGCTGGGTCGCTGTGCGTCTGCTCCTCCTTCTCGCGCTTCTCCTGCCGCCCTAATCCTGCCTTGGCCACGAGGGAGCTTGTGCTCACGCAGACCGGGCAGTGCGGGAACCAGATCGGCGCCAAGGTTGGCAGCCGGGGCTCTGAGGGCCCAGCCCGGGCCTGCCGGGTGGCCGGGGAAGATGTTGGCAGCGGCGGGGGCGGTGCCCCTGCATTGCGGCCCCTGGGCTCCCTGCCGGGGACGGTGGAACCGGGTGGCTGGCGAGGCGGCGGGGGTGGACCCCAGGGACAGGGCGGCCTGGGGATGGGGGTGCGGATGGGGGTGGGAGAGCGGCTGGGGCGCCTCCGTGACTCAGCCCCGGCCTGTCTGGCCCCTCCCGTCTCCGCAGTTCTGGGAGGTGATCTCTGATGAACATGCCATCGACTCCGCTGGCACCTACCACGGGGACAGCCACCTGCAGCTGGAGCGCATCAACGTGCACCACCACGAGGCCAGCGGTGCGACCCCCGTCCTTCCCCCACCGCCCTCCTGGGAACGCGGCCCTCCCCTCGCTCATGCCCTCCCGCCCCACGCAGGTGGCAGGTACGTGTCCCGCGCTGTGCTCGTGGATCTGGAGCCGGGCACCATGGACTCTGTGCGCTCGGGGCCCTTCGGGCAGGTCTTCAGGCCAGACAACTTCATTTCCCGTGAGCTGCGGGCGAGGACTGGGGTGCGGCTCCTTAGCCAGGGCAGCTCGAAATCCAGGAACGCTCCAAGGTCATCCTGTGGGAACTGTGGCGCCAGGGCCCCTGAACACCCTCCTGTCCTCCGAGTCGAGTCGCTCCATCTGCCTCCTAAACGGGCTTCGGGAGGAAGGCCCGCGTGTCTCCTCAAGGTGAGGAGCTACTGATGTAAACTCCCTGCAAGGACCTGAGCTGGGGCCGTGGCTACTGCCTTCCCTGAGAATGGGCCACCTGCAGCGAGGTCTGTGAACCCGTCTCAGGTTCGACTCCTGACTTAATTCCTAACAGGGGAAGCTGCTGTCCTGTAACTCCTGGGGAGGGGGTTTCATTTGTTCCACCTGCAGCGAGTTCTGTGAGCCCGTCTCAGGTTTGACTCCTGTCTTAATTCCTAACGGGGGAAGCTGCTGTCCTGTAACTCCGGGGGAGGGGTTTTCATTTGTTCCACCTGCAGTGAGGTTAGCCCCTCTCAGGTTTGACTCCTGACTTAATTCCTAAGAGAGGGGAAGCTGCTGTCCTGTAACTCCGGGGGAGGGGGTTTCATCTGCTCCACCTGCAGGGCGAATGGTGCTCTCACCTCACACGTGACACTTGGCCCTTTCTGCATTATGGTGGTGACCACTGATGACCGTATACCTGGCCGTCGAGTGACCGGCTGTGCTGTCTTACAGGTCAGTGTGGGGCCGGAAACAACTGGGCCAAGGGACGCTACACCGAAGGCGCGGAGCTGACGGAGTCAGTGATGGACGTTGTCAGAAAGGAGGCTGAGAGCTGTGACTGCCTGCAGGGTTTCCAGCTGACCCACTCCCTGGGTGGGGGGACTGGGTCTGGGATGGGTACCCTTCTCATTAGTAAGATCTGGGAGGAGTACCCAGACAGGATTATAAACACATTGAGCATCCTGCTCTTGCCCAAGGTGTCAGACACCGTGGTGGAGCCCTACAACGCCACCCTCTCAGTCCACCAGCTCATAGAAAACGCAGATGAGACCTTCTGCATAGATAACGAAGCGCTATATGACATATGTTCCAGGACCCTAAAACTGCCCACACCCACCTATGGTGACCTGAACCACCTGGTGTCTGCTACCATGAGTGGGGTCACCACGTGCCTGTGCTTCCCCGACCAGCTGAATGCTGACCTGCGGAAGCTGGCCATGAACATGGTCCCGTTTCCCCGGCTGCATTTCTTCATGCCCGGCTTTGCCCCACTGACCAGCCGGGGCAGCCAGCAGTACCGGGCCTTGACTGTGGCTGAGCTCACCCAGCAGATGTTTGATGCTAAGAACATGATGGCTGCCCGTGACCCCCGTCACGGCCGCTACCTAACGGCGGCTGCCATTTTCCAGGGTCGCATGCCCATGAGGGAGGTGGATGAACAGATGTTCAACATTCAAGATAAGAACAGCAGCTACTTTGCTGACTGGTTCCCCAACAACGTAAAAACAGCCGTCTGTGACATCCCACCCTGGGGGCTAAAAATGTCAGTCACCTTCACTGGGAACAACACAGCCGTCCAGGAACTCAAGCGGGTCTCAGAGCAGTTTACAGCAACGTTCAGGCGCAAGGCCTTCCTCCACTGGTACACGGGCGAGGGCATGGATGAGATGGAATTCACTGAGGCCGAGAGCAACATGAACGACTTGGTGTCTGAATATCAGCAATATCAGGATGCCACGGCCGAGGGAGGAGGAGTATGAGGAGGAGGAGGTGGCCTAGAACTCTCCTTTTCTAGGTAAAGGGGGGAAGCAGTGTGGATCCTTCACTGTGTTCTGACAGCCATGTGTCACTATGCGCTCGTTCATTTGTGTCTTCACATCTCCTGCTGCATTTTAAAGCATTTTTATAGTATGCGGTTTTGCCTAATAAAGTATTCTCACAGCATCTGGTTTCACCTCCAACTTCTATGGGCCCTCTGGCTACTGCTGCCAGATGTGCACAGTTGTCCTGCAAGGCGGAAGCTGTCTGGGTTCATCACATGCCCAGGAACAAGCATTCCAGTGGCTCTAGGAGGGCTCGGCATGGGCTGTGGACATGGCAGGCAGGCGCCACATGAACTTGGGGATGCCCTGGGCCTTGGGCAGCGACGTGGTGGAAAGCCTGTTCCTGAAGAAAAGCCTTGGCTTATCCCATGTACCAAACTTTTAGGGGACCAGTTGGCCATGTGTCTGGAACTTTAAAAGGGCTCAGCGACCCTGGTGGACAATGTCCCCAAAGTCCCATCTCGGGGTAGGAATGTGGTCAGACAGCTGGCTCTGAACCAGCAATGAAGGGTGGGCAAGTGGGACCCCAGGCACTCCATCACCAAGACGGTCTGGGTGTGTTTGTGTGGCCTCATTCTCTTCACGAGGTGGGCATGGGGTATCTGGCAGGGACTAGGCAGGAATCGAGCCCAGTGTCTGCTAACATGCACTGAACCCTATGTAGAGGGGGATTAGGTCCTGGGGGTCGTATATGGTGGTTGCTGGGCCTGTGTGCTCAGGGCAGTCTCTCCAAAGGCACAGATGGGGTTTCTGAACAGGACCTGGGAAGACAGGCAGGTGCTCACAAATGCTGCTTCCCCCAACTGGCAACCAGTGAGAAAAACGCCCAAGTGGAGGTCTGACCTGCCCCAGTCTGGAGGGCTGATGCTCTCTGGAAAGATGGGTGATGTGCAGTGTCTGCTGTCTCCCTGTCCCCCACTCCAAAACCTCAGAGCAAAGATAATCCAAGATTGCCAGGATGAGCCTGGTGAGGGTGGCACCTTTTTAGGGATAGGCCCTTCAGACTGGCAGAGTCTCCTCCCCAAGCTTCTCGGGGAGCCTGGACTGCAAAGCCCGCTTTGGGGAAGCTGTCAAATAAGAGGTGTGTGTGTGAGCTGGGTGCTGGGCAGCAAGCACGGACAGGGCTCTTCTCCCTGGCTCTTGTAGAACTTGTCCATGGTCTGTGTGATGACCCCTTGGTAATTCCCACCGCCACCATCACACAGATAAGATGAAGCCAGCACAGCCTGGGGGTGGGCAGATGAACAGGTTCTACCCCAGGTCCCCTGGGAATGTCCATCTGCCTCCGACGTGTCAGGGAAAACAGGTGAGGCCCCTTCTTGTTCTCTGAATGTTGTCAATGGTCTATTGCAGCCAAATGGGAACAGACAGGCAGCAGAGTGTCTCATCTCGAAAGAAGTGGCTCCTGGAAGCAGCTGGGAGGTGGGAGAGGTTCCCCACACTCCCCCAACCTCCCCCACACTCCCCCAACCTCCCCCACACTTCCCCAACCTCCCCCAACCTCCCCCAACCTCCCCCACACTCCCCCACACTCCCCCACACTCCCCCACACTCCCCCACACTCCTCCCCCACACTTCCCCACACTCCCCCACACTCCCCCACACTCCCCCAACCTCCCCCACACTCCCCCACACTTCCCCAACCTCCCCCAACCTCCCCCAACCTCCCCCACACTCCCCCACACTTCCCCAACCTCCCCCAACCTCCCCCACACTCCCCCACACTCCCCCACACTCCCCCACACTCCCCCAGCCTGTTCTAGGAGCAGGAAAAGGGGACTCTGTGACAGCCCCCCTCAGTGGCCCTCACTCTCTGAGGGGTGTCCTTGCCCAATCCAGGTGCACACCCATCTGAGATGGTCTTGCATGGACCTGCTTGGGAAGGTTCAGCTGCAGCAATCACTGGAACCTGCCCACACCTGGTGTCTCCACTCACGTGTGGACCTGGATGTTCCTCCCTCTCATAGTGGTACAGCCAGAGGCAGAGGGGGCAAGTCACTGCTGCAGTTCCCACCTGGGTCTGAGGAGGGCGTCAGGCTTGGTGCCCATGTATTTCCCAATTACCTGGTTCCATGTGGGGGCTTCATGGACAGGAGTGGTGCTTTTCCAGGCCTCTTTTCCACATGCCAGCTACAGGCCCAGGTTTCCCAAGTTTCTGGAGCCCCTCTTCCAGCCTGGCAAGCATGGCGTGTTGTAGGGGAAGGACATGAAGCCTACAGGCAGCAGAACCTGTCTGGGTATGTTCTCCACCCCTGGAGGTCCCTGGTTGTTTACCTCTTTGGGTGAGAGTCGGCTTACGATCTCAGCATTCTTGTAGGACTCCAGAACTGTACAGACAGGGGCCCAGGAGGCAGCAGGGGCTCGGACTGGCAGCTAACCAGTGTAGTGGGGGTTGTAGGGCTTGGTTTAGTCTTGCAGGGAATTCAGGGAAGCTTGGATTTGCTGAAGCTCTAGACGAGCTTGGGCTGGGATATGGAAACAGCATGGAGCCGGGGCCTTTCTGCACGCTGGAGTCTGAGTAGTTGCACCCTGGTGCAGCCATAGGTGTTCCCCACCTGGAGCACAGCTGTGGATAGAAGCTGGGAGAGCTGTGGAGGGAAGAGGAGGAGGAGGAGGGAGTCTCAGGGCAGTCCCAGCAGCCAGGCAGGGCCTCTGCAAGTGAGATGCAGATCCAGCCTGTTGGCCACTTAGCAGCTGCTTGGCTGGCTGCAGATCACCTGACCTCTGCTCACCAGTAAATGGGGGTTGCAGTTAGCACTTACCTTCTGGGGTTTCTGCAGCTTGAAGGGGCAGCACACACCATGTGCTGAGAAAGCGCCGAACTCAGGCAAGCTTTTCCAAGAGCACCACATCAGATTAACATCCAACCTGTACAGAATACCATCAAATCTCCCCACCCCTCATTCCAATGGAAGAAAAGGGAATCTCTGTCCTAGGGGGAGCAAGCACAGGCCTATCTATGCAGTCGGCACATGGCACAGGTGGGGAAAAGGCCCTTGGATACGTGCTGGTTTCACCAACCATCTGTAGGTTGGGTTTGGCCTGGACCCCTGCACCCCAGGAGGCCGGCAGCCCCCCTGCACCCCAGGAGGCCGGCAGCCCCCCTGCACGGTACAGGACTGGGAGGTGGGTGGGAGGGCTGAGCTTTGAGGGAAGCCATTATTTGGCCTCATGGGAAGTGGTGCAGGTGGTTGTTGGTGGCTCAGTTTTGCAGGACCTGGGTGATCACCCAAGGAGTGAAAATTGTCTTTTTATGAGAAATTGCCAAAATTGATGCAAGCTCATCAGTTGAAAAGGTGAGTAATGCTGACAGTTGGCTTCACGTGCCCCTTCCCCACAAGTAACTGGTGTTCAGAGGTGGATTTGGTTCCTTCCCAGCCTTTCCCGTTTGCATGTAGCTGTGTGCATGTACTTTGTGTACACACAAACATGTTCCCTGGAGGGGTTACTTTTATTTTTTTATTTGGGGGGATAACTAGTGAGGCAGCCTGACACTTGCTTATCTTGTCTTTTAAGTGTGGAGTCCTCTATGGAGTGGGCATCAGGTACTTACTAGCTGGCCTCTGCCAGCTGTTTGGCTGCCCCCGTTTCTGCCCTTCACAGACATGCTGGCCACCTGGTGTGACATGCAGTGGCCTTGTTTGCAGCTAGTGTGATGAGACAAGTGGATCAGGTACATTGTAAACTGAAAAAGCACACAACATGCAGAGGGAAAGGATAAATGACCATGAGGGTACTGCTCTGCTGAAGTCCACATCACATGACTGAGATGACATTTTTTCACCTAACATTTGGGCCCTGAGAAAAGGCATTTGTTTTACTTTTTATTTATAACAGAATTAGAAGAAATACTACCAGGCTTTCTTTTCCATTATCCTCAACTCCCACTTAAACCCCTCAAGTTTACCTACCTCAGAGAGAAAGTGGAGCTCGCCTGATTGAGAGCCTGAAATTATTTGAGCCAGGTCACTGTGTAAAGGTCAGACTGCTTCCATCTCCTTGTGCATCACTTGCGCAGCTCAGATATTTCATGGCTCCCTGTATACAGGTAGCTGTGTTACCCTCCTAGCCGCTTTCTTGGTTTGATACATGCCTGGGAGCATGTGGGAGCAGTTAAGGTCTGGGCTCATGGGAGGACAGTTCTGCCCACCCCAGCTCATCTCTCCAGCTCAGCCTGCATACCTGCCTTCCTCCATCTGATTCCAGAGTAGGGGATGGGAGGTCTCACACTGACCTCAAGTTTATGTGACTTTTTCCATCTCTGCTTTCCCAGACAGCCCTTGCTGTGGGACTTGTAAGGAGATTTGTGAAGTCAGTATCTACTTTTCTTGTGTGGGTGTTTATAAATTATTCCCCTGGAGGGGAATAAATGTTAGAGGTACTCCAAACCCCTAACATGTAAACATCTAAGCCTGGCCCTTTTTTGGTGGTAAAATATACACAACATAAAACTTACCATTTTAACCATGTTTAAATGTACAGTTCTGTGGCATCCAGTATATTCAGTGTTGTCCAACCATCTAGTTTATCTAATTTATCCATATCTACAACTTCTTTATCATCCTAAAATCAAACACCATTCCCATGAAGAAGTCACTGAATAGAAGACTGATGTATTTGACTCCATAAAAATTGAAACTTTGTGTGAGAGAAAAATGCCTCTAAGTCAAAAGTCAACAGACTGGGGAAATAGATCTGCCACATACATGACAGACAAAAAGCTAATTTGGGATATATACATACATATGGGTATATGTAAATATCCATTTTAAACACCATTCAAAAAATACCATCGTTTCCCATTGAATAGTGTTGACTCCTGTGTTAAAAATCATGACCATATTTTTTGGTTCTTTATTTCTATCGCATTGGTCTTTGTCTCTGTCTCTATGCTGGTACAAGTTTTGGGTACTGAAGCATTGCAGTAAGTTTGAAACCAGGAGGTGTTAGTCCTCTAACTTTGTTAGTTTTTAAGATTGATTTGGCTACTTGGGATTTTTTGAGATTTCATCTGAATTTTAGAATAGGTTTTTCTATTTTTGCAAATATTGGAATTTTTATAGTGATTTTATTGAATCTGTAGATGACTATAGATAACAATGGCATCTTGACAAGGTTTTGTCTTCCAGTCCATAAACACATGATGTCTTTTCATTTATTTGTCATCTTTAATACGTTCATGCCATGTTTATAGTTTTTGCTGTACAGGTTTTTCATTTTCTTGGTTAAGTGGGTTTCTAAGTATTTTATTCTTTTGATGCTATCATACATGATACTGTTGTCTTGATTTCTTCTTCAGATAGTTTATTGTTATTGTAGAAATACAACTGATTTTTGTGTATTGATTTTGTATCCTGCAGCTTTGCTGAATTTTGTTTATTGTATCTGACAGTTTATTTCACAGAAACCAAAAGATTTTTAATATATAAGGTTATGTCATCTGCAAACAGATAATTTTACTTTTAAAAAAATTGGAATATCTTTTATTCTTTTACTCATGTTTTAACTAACTAGAATCCTCAGTACTATATTAAACAGAAGTAGTAAAAGCAGGCATCCTTGTTTTTGCTCTTAGGGTAAAAGCTTTCAGTCTTTCACCACATTAGCTGTGTTTTTGTTTTTTGTATGACATTATGTTAAAGTGTTTTCTTTCTTTTTATAGTTTATTAAGTACATTTTATCATGAATGTGGGTTAAATTTTGACAAATGCTTTTTCTTCTTTGATTAAAATGTGATCACATGAGGCTTTTTTCCTTCTTTATGTTAATGTGATATTACGCTGATTTTCATGTGTTGGAATATACTTTTATTTCAGGAGTCAATTATACTCATTCATAGTGTATAATCCTTTTAGTGTACTGCTAAGTTTGAGTTGCTGGTATTTTGTTGAGGATTTTTGCATCAGCATTTGTAAGGGATGTTTGTTTGTAGTTTTCTTATGGTGCCTTTGTCTGGCTTGGTGTCAAGGTAATACTGGCCTCATAGAATAAGTTAGAAAACATTACCTCCTCTTCAACGTTTTGAAAAAGTTTGAGAAAAACTGGTGTTAATTCTGCTTTAAACGTTGGGTAGAATTCAACAGTGAAGCCATCTGGTCCAGGCTTTTCTTTGTTGCTGGGTTTTTGATTACTTATGCCATCTTCCTGCTGAATCTCCTTGCTGAATAGGTTTATTCAACTTTTCTGATTCAGTCTTAGTAGGTTTTTTGTTTCTAGGAATTTGTTCATTTTATTTAGGTTATTCAATTTTTTAGTGTATAGTTCCTTATGGTACTCTCCTACATCCTTTTTTTACTCCAAAAATTTGTTAGTAATGTACCCATTTTTCTTCTGAGTTTCGTAATTTGAGTATTCCCTTTTTTTCTTAGTCAATCTAGATAAAATTTTTGTCAGTTTTGATCTTTTCCAGAGAATAAACTTGGTTTTGTTGATTTTTGATATTGCTTTTCTGTTCTCTATTTCACTTATTTCCACTGCTATCTTTATCATTTTTAAAATTTTGCTAGCTTTTAGTTGTCCCTCTTTTTCCCTCTGTTTTTAGTTCCTTAGGAGTAAAGTTGTTGATTCAGTATCTTATGTTTTATAATCATTTATAGCTATAAATTTTTCCCTCATGGTACTGTTTTTGATGTATCTCTTAACTTCTGGTATTTCATCCAGTTTTCTCTCCATCCTTTATTTGATACATGAACAAATTACATGAGTGAAGAACACCACTGTGTCTTCTTAAATAACTTTTCAACTTCAGTAAGTCATGCAAGGATCAAATGTGAGAGAAATAGAGAACCTCAGGATCAACTCAAGTATTTGGAAAAAAGTACTGAAAAATGAGGTGGGGTGGTTTCCAAACTGACCTGCTCAGCATCGAAGGGATTCTTGTTTCTTAAGGAAGCCATGCAGTTTTATCAGCTTAAAAGTGAGTGGTTGGTAAAAATTTTTTTCTTTTAAACTTACTTTTTGAAACTTCTTATTTGTGGACTGTGGTTTGTTAGAATAGTGATTATTTTGTTTTTATGAGATGTTTATTGTATTTTTATCTTTTTTTTTTAAGGCAGAGTCTTGCTCTGTCACCCAGGCTGGAGTACAGTGGCTCGATCTCAGTTCACTGCAACCTCCACCTCCCAGGTTCAAGCGATTCTCCTGCCTCAGCCTCCCGAGTAGCTGGGATTACAGGCGCCCACCACCACACCCAGCTAATTTTTGTATTTTCAGTAGAGATGAGGTTTCACCCTGTCGGCCAGGCTGGTCTCAAACTCCTGACCTCAAGTGATCCACCCGCCTCAGTCTCCCAAAGTGCTGGGATTACAGGTGTGAGCCACTGTGCCCAGCGTGTTTCTTGTGTTTGATGATGAAAATCTGTTATTGACAGTAAGAGGATGGGGGCTCAGGTTAGCAACAGGGTGTTAGAAAAGCAGCAGTAAAATTTTGGTTCTCAAAACATTTGATGTCTTATTCCTTTTTTTGAACATGGGTTTTGCTAAAAAAAAAAAAGGCCAGCCATTTTGAAACTTGATTTTATTGTCACGTTCTCATTTTGAAATTCATCTTATGGTTTGTATGAATTGGCAGCCGTCTGTGGGAAATTTCAGTTTTGCATATTTTCAGATTATTTTCATTTTTACATCAGATTTTGAACAGATGCTATACAAAAGTATTCATTTATTTATTCAACAAAATTTAGTGCTGGTTATGTTGCAAGCACTTAGTGAACTTCATGCTGTACGTGCCTCACATACTTTTGCGAATGTAATGGCAACATCAAAACCTTTGCCCTTATGCACCTTATAAACCTTTAATTTCAAGGCATATTGATGAGCGGGCATCTGCTATAACGTGCTTTCATGGTCATTTAATTCACCATTATTTGGGTATACCTTATATTGAAGCTGATTACTGAAAATTGGAAACTATTTAAACATATCTGTGTCTTGCCTTTTTCCTTAACATATGTAGATCAAGGAGTCACTGAGGATCAATTTTAGGGATAGTTATAAAAATCTTAACTTTGCGACTATAACTTTGTCCTCAATGTAATAACTGCAAAAAATAATTTACATTTCAAAGGCTTTAATCTTTGTGCTTTTTTGAAAAGGAGCCTTCACCGAGATTCTTTAAAAATTCTTGCTCTTACAGTAGAGCATTTTAAGCTCATGGATATGGTCCTCTAATGGATCTGTACCCCCTCAGTTCTCTGGTTGTCGCCCTCCTGTGGTGAAAATTAAAGCTTATTTTCATTTCACGTCTAGGATGCAGTACGTTCTTATTGGGGAAAAAATGATGTTGCTGAGAAACAAGTGCCTTCAGTATCACTGTGTGTCACTTAATAAATATGACTAATATCTACTTTTACCAATGGCTGCAATTTGATGCTTAAACAGCCATCTTTAAATTATACTTTTTCTTTGGTTAAAGAAAAATAATTATAATAGATATTAATTATTTTTACCTAATTTTCTTATGTGGACTGCTATTCTTAGAACTAAAACTTTCAGATGTTTATATTACAAGTACAATTATTATTTATTTTTATTATTAGTGTCATCTTTTTTTTTCTGTAGCCAAATGTAATCAACTCCCTTCCTTTCACTTCCTTTTTTGAATCAGAATATTACACTTATACAAGCAAGAGCAACAGCTCTATATCCAGATCACTGCAGTGCTTAGAAGATACAACAGCACAATTTACAGATCCAAATTTCCAGGAAGTCTCTGCACACACCTCTAGTACAAAAGATGCTTCAGAGACTAGAGGGTCAGAGGGCAAAGAGAGGAAATATTCAACTCCCAGCTCAGGTCAAAAGGGAAGAAAGCCTGGTGTTAAAAGAAATCCAAGAAGGACTGTGTCTGCAACTCGCCCCTTTCTGTAAAGTATTCATGGTGTTTTAGTTAAAATGTTTGTTCTTATGATGGTCAAATAATATTAATAGTTATGCTTTGTAAAAGAATTTATTCTTATAATTAATGGATCGTTCTAAATTATTATACGTTTAGTTGCTATAGTAAGATGATGTCAAAGATTTGTTGCCTGTTAAATGTTTCTGGGATCTTTGCTTTATTTTCATATTATGATCTGTGCTTCCAAAGTTGAGTGGTAATTTTATTGTTTATACAAATGTAAAATAAAGCTTAAGTTTGGGGAGAAAAATAAAAGCTAGAGTTTTCCTTTCAGCTCTATAGAACAGTCATTCATTTCTATAAATGTTCTTTATATAGATTTCCTAGTTCCACATTTAAAAATAAATATGGGGATCTACACAGGTCTCAGTAAATAATAGTTGTTGATTAATAATGCATTTATTATAAAGCTTGAAGTTTAAAGTAGAATTTTGCTCAGCCTACATATCTTTTATGGTCAGGCTGCTATAATTATGTAATACCCAGTTAAATTTCAATTTCAGATAAACAAAGAATAAGTTTTAGTATAAGCATATCCCAAATATTGCATGGGGTATACTTACACTGAAAAAAGTATTTGTTTATCTGAAATTTAAAATTAACTGGGCATGCTATATTTTCTGTGGCAACCCTGTTTTATAGAGAGCAGAGTAAGTCAGCTAAATTTTAGAATACTTTAACCTGGTGTTCTAGGTCTTTCCTTTTTGTAATTATTATTATTATCTGGAGTCAGGGTCATGCTCCATCACTTAGGCTGGAGTGCAGTGGCACAATCACAGTGCCCTGCAGCCTTGAGCTTCTGGGCTCAAGTGATTCTGGCACCTCTGCCTTTGCCTCCCAAGTAGCTAGTACCACAGGTACGTGGGCCCAGCTAATTTTTTTTTTTTTTTTTTTTTTTCCCCGTAGAGACAGGGTCTCAGGGTGGTCTGGAACTCCTGGGCTCAAGCAATCCTCCCACCTCTGCCTTCACTTCCCAAATAGCTGAGACCACCGGCACATACCACCACCATACCCAGCTTATTTTTTATCAGGTTGGTGCAAGAGGAATTGTGGGTTTTGCCATTGAAAGTAATGGCAAAACCTGCAATTACTTTTTGTATCACCCTAATAATTTTTTGTGGAGACAAGGTCTTGTCCTGTTGTCTAGGCTGGTTTCCAAGTCCTGGACTCGAGTGACCCTCCTGCCTTGGCCTCTCAAAGTGCTGGGATTACAGATGGGAGCCACTGTACCAAGCTACTTTGTATAATTTTTAACATAAATGTAAATGTTTTGAGAACTAGAAATGTTAAAACCCTTGGAGGAAAATGTAAAGTATACAATAGAAAAAAAAATACAAAAAATTATCAATTTTCAGAGGAACAAAAAATATCCAGTTTTTACAATCTTCAGGATTCAATCCCATTATATCAAACATACCAAGAAACATATTCAAAGAAAAAGGCAATCAATCGAGACTGACCTCGAGACGACCGAGATGTTGGAATTAGTATGGATTTTTTAAAGTAGTTATTATAATTCTTACTAAAATCAAAACCCCAAAAACTCTTATAATAAATGGATAGAAAATCACAGCAGAGAAGAAGAAACTACAGTAATAACAAAGCCTCAAGTGGAAATTCTAGAAGTGAAAAATTTTTCAAAATTAAAAAATAATAGTTGTGTTCAGGAGCAGCTTGGAGGTGGTAAAGAGTCAACCTTAAAATACAATTGAAATTATTCAATCTGAAAAATGTGAGCAGTCACGGGTTGAGGTGAGGGAGTTTTCCTTTGGTTAGTGCTTTTAGGTAATCTTGGTTTTTTTTTTTTTTTTATTGATCATTCTTGGGTGTTTCTCGCAGAGGGGGATTTGGCCGGGTCACAGGACAATAGTGGAGGGAAGGTCAGCAGATAAACAAGTGAACAAAGGTCTCTGGTTTTCCTAGGCAGAGGACCCTGCGGCCTTCCGCAGTGTTTGCGTCCCTGGGTACTTGAGAGTAGGGAGTGGTGATGACTCTTAACGAGCATGCTGCCTTCAAGCATCTGTTTAACAAAGCACATCTTGCACCGCCCTTAATCCATTCAACCCTGAGTGGACACAGCACATGTTTCAGAGAGCAAGGGGTTGGGGGTAAGGTCACAGATCAACAGGATCCCAAGGCAGAAGAATTTTTCTTAGTGCAGAACAAAATGAAAAGTCTCCCATGTCTACTTCTTTCTACCCAGACACAGCAACCATCCGATTTCTCAATCTTTTTGATAAGATTACTAGATTGATCTGTCAGGGGCATGCTAAGCCAGAATTTATCTTGGTTTCAGTAGTGCTTTAAACAAAACTCATGATACCCTTGTGTTCAAGACAGAAGAAGAGTGGGCCAAATTAAATATTTAGATGCAGTCATTCTTAACCTCTGTTGCTCTCCCAGTGGTCTAGCTGGGGTTTGTATAAAGTGGAATGGGAGGAACAGGGAAGGAGCCCCCACCTACCCTCTCCCCTTGTCCACTTGTCCTCCTTGACTAGTGGATAAAGTCCACGGGAACAGGCAAGTTATTTTCAATCTGTATCTTCTGTTAAGATCTGTAATCAGTTCTGCTTGCTGGACTGGGGACAGGAACCGAGGGAACATGAGGGTGAACGAGGTGACATGGAGTCCAGGAGCACACTGTGCCTACATGCAGAATGTTTGTGCCAGGAAAGCCAGCAGCAGGCAGATGGTCTCAGATAGCAAGCTAGTGTTGGGAAGCAAGATTCAGTCTCTTGAAGGCGTGTTCCTCAGTGTGTGGTTTGTATCACTTGCTTCAGAATGACCTGGAGTACTTGTTAAAATGCAAATTTTCAGCCCAATCCTAGACCTCCTAAGCCTGCATCTCTACGGATGGGTCTCAGTAGTCGATATTGGAAACGGGCAGGTCCCTAGGAGATGCTTATGCATATAAATTTGAAATGTGTTTAAGGTTTAGGGAGCTGGCAAAAGCAAGGAATAGACCAAGCCCTTGGGTGGGAAGCCTCCACAACGTTGGCACTATTAGCATTCGGGGCGGAAGAGGATTCTGCCACATGCTTCGCAGCATCCCTAGCCTCTACCCTCTAACACCGTATCCCAGTTGTGAAAACCAAAAATGTCCCCTGGGAGGCAAAATAGTCACTAGTTGGGAACCGAAACCACTGCTTTGTATCAGAGTAGTTACTTTGTTCCTAATCCAAGGATCAGAACACACGATGAGAGAAAGTCTAGCTATGGGAACTGGAGTGCCAAGTTGGAGCTAGACCTACAACAAAAGCACCAAAAGCTCCTTTATAGGGCTGATTCCGTGCCTCAGCTACCTAGCTTGTACAAATGCCATGTAACTCTAGATTTGATGACAGAAGGCATTTAAAGGCTAGAACTAGTTAGGGTCTTTCAGATTAGGCCAGCACACAACGTGGACTTTTGACAACATCCAGATGCTTGAACCAAACTCAGTCCTGAGGCAGAATTTCCCGTGGCATCTGATACACAGCCTGGATTTGGAGCACTCACTAGGATTAGATGCCATGGGAATATTGTGTTTAGGAACTCTGAAAGAGACAGGCTTCAACAAAGCAGACCTAAGCAACACGTAGCGTCTTAACTTTTTTTTTTTTTTAACAGAAATGTTCAGAGCACCTTTATTTGTAATAGCCTAGAACTAGAAACAACCCAGATATCCTCCAATGACTGAATGGTTAAACAAACTGTTCTATATCGCCACTATGGAATTTTTTTTTTCTTTATTGTACTTTAAGTTTTAGGGTACATGTGCACAACGGGCAGGTTTGTTACATACGTATACATGTGCCATGTTGGTGTGCTGCACACATTAACTCTTCATTTAACATTAGTTATATCTCATATCGCTATCTCTCCCCCCTCCCCTGACCCCACAGCAGGCCCTGGTGTGTGATGTTCCCCTTCCTGTGTCCAAGTGTTCTCATTGTTCAATTCCCACCAATGAGTGAGAACATGCTGTGTTTGGTTTTTTGTCCTTGCAATAGTTGGCTGAGAATGATGGTTTCCAGCTTCATCCATGTCCCTACAAAGGACATGAACTCATCATTTTTCGTGGCTGCATAGTATTCCATGGTGTATATGTGCCACATTTTCTCAATCCAGTCAATCATTGTTAGACATTTGGGTTGGTTCCAAGTCTTTGCTATTGTGAATAGTGCCACAATAAACATATGTGTGCATGTGTCTTTATAGCAGCATGTTTTATAATCCTTTGGGTATATACCCAGTAATGGGATGGCTGGGTCAAATGGTATTTCTAGTTCTAGATCCCTGAGGAACCACCACACGGACTTCCACAATGGTTGAACTAGTTTACAGTCCCACCAACAGTGTAAAAGTGTTCCTATTTCTCCACATCCTCTCCAGCACCTGTTGTTTCCTGACTTTTTAATGATCACCATTCTAACTGGTGTGAGATGGTATCTCATTGTGGTTTTGATTTGCATTTCTCTGATGGCCAGTGATGATGAGCATTTTTTCATGTGTCTGTTGGCTGCATAAATGTCTTCTTTTGAGAAGTGTCTGTTCATATCCTTTGCCCACTTTTTGATGGGATTGTTTGTTTTTTTTCTTGTAAATTTGAGTTCATTGTAGATTCGGGATATTAGCCCTTTGTCAGATGAGTAGATTGCAAAAATTTTCTCCCATTCTGTAGGTTGCCTGTTCACTCTGATGGTAGTTTCTTTTGCTGTGCAGAAGCTCTTTAGTTTAATTAGATCCCATTTGTCAATCTTGGCTTTTGTTGCCATTGCTTTTGGTGTTTTAGACATGAAGTCCTTGCCTATGCCTATGTCCTGAATGGTATTGCCTAGGTTTTCTTCTAGGGTTTTTATGGTTTTAGGTCTAACATTTAAGTCTTTAATCCATCTTGAATTAATTTTTGTATAAGGTGTAAGGAAGGGATCCAGTTTCAGCTTTCTACATATGTCTGGCCAGTTTTCCCAGCACCATTTGTTAAATAAGGAATCCTTTCCCCATTGCTTGTTTTTGTCAGGTTTGTCAAAGATCAGATGGTTGTAGACATGTGGCATTATTTCTGAGGGCTCTATTCTGTTCCATTGTTCTATATCTCTGTTTTGGTACCAGTACCATGCTGTTTTGGTTACTGTAGCCTTGTAGTATAGTTCGAAGTCAGGTAGCATGATGCCTCCAGCTTTGTTCTTTTGGCTTAGGATTGACTTGGCAATGCAGGCTCTTTTTTGATTCCATATGAACTTTAAAGTATTTTTTTCTATTTCTGTGCAGAAAGTCATTGGTAGCTTGATGGGGATGGCATTGAATCTATAAATTACCTTGGGCAGTATGGCCATTTTCACGGTATTGATTCTTCCTACCAATGAGCATGGAATGTTCTTCCATTTGTTTGTATCCTCTTTTATTTCATTGAGCAGTGGTTTGTATTTCTCCTTAAAGAGGTCCTTCATGTCCCTTGTAAGTTGGAGTCCTAGGTATTTTATTCTCTTTGAAGCAGTTGTGAATGGGAGTTCACTCATGATTTGGCTCTCTGTTAGTCTATTATTGGTGTATAAGAATGCTTGTGATTTTTGCACATTGATTTTGTATCCTGAGACTTTGCTGAAGTTGCTTATCAGCTTAAGCAGATTTTGGGCTGAGATGATGGGGTTTTCTAGATACACAATCATGTCATCTGCAAACAGGGACAATTTGACTTCCTCTTTTCATAATTGAATACCCTTTATTTCCTTCTCCTGCCTGATTGCCCTGGCCAGAACTTCCAACACTATGTTGAATAGGAGTGGTGAGAGAGGGCATCCCTGTCTTGTGCTGGTTTTCAAAGGGAATGCTTCCAGTTTTTGCCCATTCAGTATGCTATTGGCTGTGGGTTTGTCATAGATAGCTCTTACTATTTTGAGATATGTCCCATCAATACCTAATTTTTTGAGAGTTTTTAGCATGAAGGTTTGTTGAATTTTGTCAAAGGCCTTTTCTGCATCTATTGAGATAATCATGTGGTTTTTGTCATTGGTTCTGTTTATATGCTGGATTACATTTATTGATTTGCATATGTTGAGCCAGCCTTGCATCCCAGGGATGAAGCCCACTTGATCATGGTGGATAAGCTTTTTGATGTGCTGCTGGATTCGGTTTGCCAGTATTTTATTGAGGATTTTTGCATCGATGTTTATCAGGGATATTGGTCTAAAATTCTCTTTTTTTGTTGTGTCTCTGCCAGGCTTTGGTATCAGGATGATGCTGGCCTCATAAAATGAGTTAGGGAGGATTCCCTCTTTTTCTATTGATTGGAATAGTTTCAGAAGGAGTGGTATGAGCTCCTCCTTGTACCTCTGGTAGAATTAGGCTGTGAATCCATCTGGTCCTGGCCTTTCTTCGGTTGGTAAGCTGTTAATTATTGCCTCAATTACAGAGCCTGTTATTGGTCTATTCAGAGATTCAAGTTCTTCCTGGTTTAGTCTTGGGAGGGTGTATGTGTCCAGGAATGTATCCATTTCTTCTAGATTGTCTAGTTGATTTGCGTAGAGGTGTTTATAGTATTCTCTGATGGTAGTTTGTATTTCTGTGGGATCAGTGGTGATATCCCCTTTATCATTTTTTATTGCACCTATTTGATTCTTCTCTCTTTTCTTCATTAGTCTTGCTAGCAGTCTATCAATTTTGTTGATCTTTTCAAAAAACCAGCTCCTGGATTCATTGAGTTTTTGAAGGGTTTTTTGTGTCTATTTCCTTCAGTTCTGCTCTGATCTTAGTTATTTCTTGCCTTCTGCTAGCTTTTGTATGTGTTTGCTCTTCTCTAGTTCTTTTAATTGTGATGTTAGGGTGTCAATTTTAGATCTTTCCTGCTTTCTCTTGTGGGCATTTAGTGCTATAAATTTCCCTCTACACACTGCTTTGAATGTGTCTCAGAGATTCTGGTATGTTGTGTCTTTGTTCTCGTTGGTTTCAAAGAACATCTTTATTTCTGCCTTCATTTCGTTATGTACCCAGTAGTCATTCAGGAGCAGGTTGTTCAGTTTCCATGTAGTTGAGCAGTTTTGAGTGAGTTTCTTAATCCTGAGTTCTAGTTTGATTGTACTGTGGTCTGAGAGACAGTTTGTTATAATTTCCGTTCTTTTACATTTGCTAAGGAGTGCTTTACTTCCAACTATGTGGTCAATTTTGGAAGAGGTGTGGTGTGGTGCTGAAAAGAATGTATATTCTGTTGATTTGGGGTGGAGAGATCTGTAGATGTCTACTAGATCTGCTTGGTGCAGAGCTGGGTTCAATTCCTGGATATCCTTGTGAACTTTCTGTCTTGTTGATCTGTCTAATGTTGACAGTGGGGTGTTAAAGTCTCCCATTATTATTGTGTGGGAGTCTAAGTCTCTTTGTAGGTCTCTAAGGACTTGCTTTATGAATCTGGGTGCTCCTGTATTGGGTGCATATATATTTAGGATAGTTAGTTCTTCTTGTTGAATTGATCCCTTTACCATTATGTAATGGCCTTGTCTCTTTTGATCTTTGTTGGTTTAAAGTCTGTTTTATCAGATACTAGGATTGCAACCCCTGCCTTTTTTTTTCCATTTGCTTGGTAGATCTTCCTCCATCCCTTTATTTTGAGCCTATGTGTGTCTCTGCATGTGAGATGGGTTTCCTGAGTACAGCACACTGATGGGTCTTGACTCTATCCAATTTGCCAGTCTCTCTCTTTTAATTGGAGCATTTAGCCCATTTACATTTAAGGTTAATATTGTTATGTGTGAATTTGATCCTGTCATTATGATATTAGCTGGTTATTTTGCTCATTAGTTGATGCAGTTTCTTCCTAGCCTCGATGTTCTTTACAATTTGGCATGTTTTTGCAGTGGCTTGTACAGGTTGTTCCTTTCCATGTTTAGTGCTTCCTTCAGGAGCTCTGTTAGGGCAGGCCTGCTGGTGACAAAATCTCTCAGCATTTGCTTGTCTGTAGATTTTATTTCTCTTTCACTTATGAAGCTTAGTTTGGCTAGATATGAAATTCTGGGTTGAAAATTCTTTTAAGAATGTTGAATATTGGCCCCCACTCTCTTCTGGCTTGTAGAGTTTCTGCGGAGAGATCAGCTGTTCGTCTGATGGGCTTCCCTTTGTGGGTAACCCAACCTTTCTCTCTGGCTGCCCTTAACATTTTTTCCTTCAACTTTGGTGAATCTGATAATTATGTGTCTTGGAGTTGCTCTTCTCAAGGAGTATCTTTGTGGCATTCTCTGTATTTCCTGAATTTAAATATTGGCCTGCCTTGCTAGATTGGGGAAGTTCTCCTGGATAATATCCTGCAGAGTGTTTTCCAACTTGGTTTCATTCTCCCCATCACTTTAAGGTACACCAATCAGACATAGATTTGGTCTTTTCACATAGTCCCGTATTTCTTGGAGGCTTTGTTCGTTTCTTTTTATTCTTTTTTCTCTAAACTTCTCGCTTCATTTCATTCATTTGATCTTCCATCACTGATACCCTTTCTTCCAGTTGATCAAATCGGCTACTGAGGCTTGTGCATTCATCACGTAGTTCTCATGCCGTGGTTTTCAGCTCCATCAGGTCCTTTAAGGACTTCTCTGCATTGGTTATTCTAGTTATCCATTTGTCTAATTTTTTTTCAAAGCTTTTAACTTCTTTGCCATTGGTTTGAATTTCCTCCTGTAGCTCGGAGTAGTTTGTCTGAAGCTGCCTTCTCTCAACTCGTCAATGATTCTCCGTCCAGCTTTGTTCCGTTGCTGGTGAGGAGCTGTGTTCCTTTGGAGGAGGAGAGGTGCTCTGATTTTTAGTTTCCAGTTTTTCTGCTCTGTTTTTTCCCCATCTTTGTGGTTTTATCTACCTTTGGTCTTTGATGATGGTGATGTACAGATGGAGTTTTGGTGTGAATGTCCTTTCTGTTAGTTTTCCTTCTAACAGTCAGGACCCTCAGCTGCAGGTCTGTTGGAGTTTACTGGAGGTCCACTCCAGACCGTTTGCCCAGGTATCAGCAGTGGAGGCTGCAGAACAACAGATATTGGTGAACAGCAAATGTTGCTGCCTGATTGTTCCTCTGAAAGTTTTGTCTCAGAGGAGTACCCGGCCATGTGAGGTGTCAGTCTTCCCCTACTGGGGGATGCCTCCCAGTTAGGCTACTCGGGGGTCAGGGACCCACTTGAGGAGGCAGTCTGTCTGTTCTCAGATCTCCAGCTGCTTGCTGGGAGAACCACTACTCTATTCAAAGCTGTCAGACAGGGACATTTAAGTCTGCAGAGTTTTCTGCTGCCTTTTGTTTGGCTATGCCCTGCCCCTAGAGGTGGAGTCTACAGAGGCAGGCAGGCCTCCTTGCGCTGCAGTGGGCTCCACCCAGTTTGAGCTTCCCAGCCACTTTACCTACTCAAGCCTCGGCAATGGCAGGTGCCCCTCTCCCAGCCTCGCTGCCGCCTTGCAGTTTGATCTCAGACTGCTGTGCTAGCAATGAGCGAGGCTCCTTGGGCGCAGGACCCTCCAAGCCGGGCGCAGGATATAATCTCCTGGTGTGCCGTTTGCTAAGAGTGTTGGAAAAGCGCAGTATTAGGGTGGGAGTGGCCCAATTTTCCAGGTGCCGTCTGTCACCCCTTTCTTTGACTAGGAAAGGGAATTCCCTGACCCCTTGTTCTTCCTGGGTAAGGTGATGCCTCGCCCTGCTTTGGCTCATGCTCGGTGCACTGTACCCACTGTCCTGCACCCACTGCCTGACACTCCCCAGTGAGATGAACCTGGTACCTCAGTTGGAAATGAAGAAATCACACGTCTTCTGCATCGCTCACGCTGGGAGCTGTAGACTGGAGCTGTTCCTATTCCCTTACCAGCTTCCATTCCAGCCCACAAGGACAAAGGCATCACATACATATCCACTGTGGCTAACCTGTCCTCAGCAGGGAGTTTCCCCAGTACTACTCTCCCCTCTGTTCTGAGCCTACTTGCTCCTTTGTAATGTTTCTGCTTTCTGTCCCACTCCCTAATAGATGATTTGTCCTCTCTGCCCAGCCCCCTAGTTCTGATATTTGGATTGTCTGTGATCTGGGTAGTACTTAGAAGGTAGAACCAAAGCCTTGTTGATTGGATTGGGAGTTTCTAACTTCTATTAAAGGCACTGATTAAGCATCTATTATATAAAGTAAAGTAAGATTATGATCCAGTAAGACAGATTCCACAAGTAGCGCAGGAAGAATTGGTTTCTAGTACACTTCATGCTTCAGGACAGGAAATCCAGAAAAAAATTCTGTGGTACATTAAGTGTGAACTGTAAGTTTCATTTCCATGTGAAAAACTGTAGTTAGCTAAAAAGTACATCCATGAAGAATCCTGATTAAACTTGTTTAATCCTGGTTAAACTAGCTAAACAATAATTTCACAACTCAAGAACTCTGTAAAAGCATTTCCTCTGAATATTTTATTCAGAAAAAAACACAGAAAGATAAGGCAGAAACAAAAATCCCAGTCACTTGCAGTATCTGTCGGCTTTCAATTTGGCTCTCCTGTTTAAACAAAGAAAAATAAAATTAATCTATGTAAAACATGCCATATATATTCAACTGCTACTAAATATAAAAAGCTTTAAAACTGTGTGTTCAATTTTGGTTATTACCACAACACTTTTATTAAAATATGTATACTTTTAAATTTGGTTTCTATAAAAAATGGATTCTAATCTTATAAAAGTTATTTCCTAATATTCAATAAATGTTGCCTAAGGGCTTTTTCAATCCAAATAGCAATTTTAATTATTCCGGAATTTAAGGCTGCTCTAAATTTCCATTTAACAGGGTGAGAATGCTGTATTATTACAAGTGATAAAAGTTACAGGACATAGAGCTTATTCCGTTTTAGAGTCCACATCCTGATTATATTTTATATCCTCTTCTTGATTTCTTACAATGAGATACATATTCATTTGCTCAGCTGGAAAAAATTCTTAACATTATTTACTGACTTTAGGTATGAACACTACCAGCTAGTTAACAGGAAATACGTAATTAAACATTGCCTTTATCAAGTAATGTAAAAAAAAGGGTAAGAGTAACTTTGCAACATACGACTTGAATGAGCGGCTGGTGATTATCAAAATCTGGCACTTAATTGATTTATACTTGTACACTCA